>NT_167245.2:3475719-3730801 GCF_000001405.40 Homo sapiens | reverse complement strand
GGCCACCCCCGAGGGCACAACCCTGGGCGGCCTCAGACAGAGCCTCCTCCTGAGACCCAGGAACAGTGCTCCCTCGGCAGGGTGGGACAGTGGCCTTGCCGCTGGATGGGTCCCCAAAGTGGGGCAACTCCCACTTCTCACCCCAGGCCCCTGAGGCATGGCCCCAGCTTCATGCCCTCCCCACAGCTATAGGATGAGAGCAGGAATGCAGGACTGGTGGAGGCTCTGGGCCTGGGGGCGGGTCCTGCTGGCTGCTCAAGGGTTGGGGCAGCACAGTCAGCTGCCTAAGGGACACAAGGCACAGGGGACATGGGGCACAGGGGTCCCACCATGGCCACTGCTCCCACAGTCATTCCTGCCACCACCGCTTGCAACTTACCACTGCAACTAGCCACTCTGGACAGCTCGCCACTGCCATCATCACCACCCTTTTATCCTAAAATGCTAAGGTGAACCTTAGATGGCTTTCCTAGATTACCATCATCACCATTAGTTTCTTTTTTTCACAATTTCTTCTTTTCTTTTTTCTTTCTTTGTGTGTGTGTGTTTTTTTTTTTTTTGACAGGATCTTCCTTGTTCATAATATTTAGTATTATTTCATGCTGATAAATCTGTAAGACTATAACAAAAGGTATGAAATTTGTGTCACTGGAGTCTTAGAGGGAAATGACAAATGGGTGATGCCCAAAGAGTGCTTGAAGGAAGACTGACTGCTTTCCAAATTTGGACAGAGGCTTAAATGTAAAAATTCAAGAATCTGTGCAAACCCAAATGAAAATAAATCCAAAGAAATTTATGCCAAAAAAAATCTCGGAAGCAACAAGAGAGAAAGGACATCTCATGCACAGGAGAAAATAAATTAAATGACAGTGGATTGCTCATTAGAAATCATGCAGACCAGACAGAAGTGGCACAAGATATTTTAACGGCTGAAAGGAATGTTAACCTAGAATGTATATCCAGTAAAAACATTATTATAAAATGTTCTATCATGACTTTTTTTTTCTTTTATTTTTCTTTTTTTGTTTGTTTTTCGTTTTTTAGATGGAGTTTTGATCCATCTTAAAAAAAAAAACCCAGGCTGGAGTGCAGTGGCGCGACCACGGCTCACTGCAGCCTTTGCCTCCCAGGCTCGTGTGATCCTCACACCTCAGCCTCCTGAGTAGCTGGGGTTACAGACACACACCACCACGCCTGGCTAATTTTTTGTATTTTTGGCAGAGACAGGGTTTTGCCATGTTGCCCAGGCTTGTCTCGAATTCCTGAGCTCATGGGATCCGCCTGCCTTGGCCTTCCAAAGTGCTGGGATTACAGGCGTGAGCCACTGCACATGGCCATGACATACTTAGAGGAAGGAAAATCAAGAGAATTTCATGCTAGCAGACTTATGTTAAAACAAGGGCTAAAGGAAGTGCTTTAACTGGAATAGAAATGATAATGGAAGAAATCTTGGACAATTGGGAAAAAAGTAAACAGCAAATGAGTAAAAATATGGTTAGATACAACAGACTTCTTCAGTTTTGTAAATTAACTTGATGGTTGAGGCAAAAATTACAACACTGACAAGATGTGATTTTGATGCAAGTAGAGAAAATAAAACATATATATTACACATGCAGAAGTGGAAAGGATTATAAAGGAGGTAAAGTTTCCACACTTTAGTCAAATTGGTAAAATGTCAGCACCAGTAGACTATGATAAGTTATGTTAACAGACAGATAAATCACGAAAACTATACAATGAGATACACCAAAAAAAGATTGATTTAAAAATGGAATTCTAAAAATTGCTTAAGGAACACATTGGAAAATAGGAAAAGAAACCAGAGAAGAAAAAACCAAAGGAAACAAAAAAGAAAACAAAAAGCAGATGGCAGTCATAAGAGCTCACATATTAATAATTGCATTACATGTAAAGTGTGTAAAAAGACAAATGCCAGAGTGAAAAGCAATGACTCTTCGACATGCTCCCTATAAGAAACTTACTTCAAATATTACATGCCCATCTTCCCTTGGCTTCCCTGTGACTGAGGTGGCAAAAGCCTGGTGTGTCAACACTGCCCTGAACGTGCACACACCCAGCCAGTCTGTGACAGCACTGGGGCTTTGCCCCAACTCCACTCTGAGATCAGAGTGGGCACCTGGGACCCGGGTGAGGCCAAAGGAGAGGCCAGAAAGTGGGAACAGACACCCCCAAGCCTGCATGGACAGGAGGGCCTTCTCAGCCTTGAGGGAGTGGAGTGTAGAGAGGCCTGGATCGTGTTGCCTGTGGGGAGGGCCGGGAGGGTGGGGTTTCCAACCCATTCCATGGAGCCTGCAGGTATCCCCTGTCACACCTTCTGGCAGCCTGGGGTGGGCAGCTCCCCTCGCTGGGCGCAGGCCAGCATCTGGGGCAAGGGTGATGTCTCTGCAAGTTATTCTGCTAGCACTCAGGGTGCCCGGGGCTCCTTCTCGCCTGGATGGGGCGGGGGAGGCACCTTGGGGAACAGATCACAGCCCGGGCCTGGCTGTCAGGAGCATCAGGCTGGGTGGCCACCCGCGGGGACAAAACCCTGGACGGCCTCAAGCAGAGCCTCTTCCTGAGGCGCAGGAACTGGGCGCCCTTGGCAGGGCGGGTCCTCAAAGTGAGGCCACTCCCATGTCCCACCCCGGGTCACTGAAGGGTGGCCCCAGCTCCATGCTCTCCCCACGACTGCAAGGTGAGAGCAGCAACGCAGGAGTGAAGGCTCTGGGCCTGGGGGCAGTCCTGCTGGCTGTTCAAGAGTGGGGTCAGTGCAGTCAGCTGCCTCAGTGACGCGAGGCACAGGGGACATGGGGCACAAGGGTCCCACCACGGCCACTACTCCCTCAGTGGCTCCTGCCGCCACCGCTTGCAACTTCCCGCTGTAGCCGGCCACTCTGGACAGCTCGCCACTGCCAGCATCACCACCCTTTAATCCTGAAATACTAACGTGAACCTTAGCTGATTTCCTGGATTACTACTATCACAATTAGTTTCTTTTTTTCACAAATTTGTTTCTTTTTTCTTTTTCTTTTGCTTTTCCCCTTCTTTCTGAAGGAGTATGATCTAATGACTGAGCTTGAGAGGTATATAATTTGGCTCAATCTATAGTGTACCGTTTACTAGTGTATCTTGGCAAAATTTGTTTTATCTCCATCATTTTAGTCTCTCCACCTGTAAGCATGAAAACGGTGTTTATTTTACTGAGCTGATGTGAGAATTAAATAAAAATATGAAGCATAGAAAGCTTTTAGTACAATTCTGAGTACAAAGTCAAATGCTCATTTTTATCGCAGCATGGTGAGAATCCTGCTCCTGGAAACACTAAGGCACATAAGGAAGGAGTGCCTATCAGAACTGTGGTACAGTGTGAATTAATGCAGAGCTTTATATGTATAGCCGTACTTTGAAGTCCATTCTGAATCTTAGATGTCACATTTATATTAGTATAAAGCATAATAATTATCTAAATGTAGAATTATATGTTTAAAATTACATGATTACATCAGCTGATGTAATTCATAGTTTTTCCCTAGGGTTCTCTTTCCTGAACATTCTGTAACGTATTAGTTAGCACAGTCTTCTTATATCTTCCCTTATGATAAATCAAAAGAAGCATAATAGTAAAGGGCCATAACCTCAATCAAATGAGGAAATCCTAATGGGAACCAGGAATGAGGGATTGAACACTCTTCACATAAAATATTAATTATTTTACAGCAGTGTTGTTCTGTCAACAGCTGACTTTGAGTCCTTGATCAATCTCTCAGACCCCTGAATACTTCGATTGCACAGTTGACCTTATCACATTGTTAGGGTAAGTGCTATACAAAGGCACCTTCAGACCCTCCATTGCACATAGGTGGTCCCTGCAAGCCCCTTCCTGTGTGTGTTCTGGAGGTGCCACTAAACTTGGGGGCAGCATCAGGAGACACACTTGAAAACAATTTAATCTCAGATTAAATTATTAACAAACTTTCCATTTCCTTTAACTTATTAAAGACATCCCTACCTGGAAATAGGTACAGAATACCCTCTCCAGTTAACAGCTGTCATTCTGTCCTATCATCAGATACCCAGGGGCTGTTGCTACTTGAGGCGTCCACAGAATCACAGCATTTTCCAGTATTGAAAGACCTGAAAGATCGCAGTGCCTTCATTTCAACTGTGAGACATGAAGTAATTTTCCCAAATCTATGACATTAAGATATGGTGCAATAAGGACTAGATTACAGGTCTCCAGATTTACAACCATGTTGCCTCCATCTCCTTTACTCCTAAACACACTCACACACTCACTTCTGCAAACAGTTGTCTTGTCAAGTGGGAAATGAATGCTCTTACAAGTCTCAAACTTGTGAACACATCACTGACCAGCACAGAGCTGGCTCACAATAAGGACCCAGTTAAAGTGTTCTACATGCAACTGGATCAAACCTTCCAAGTACTAAATTAAAACAATCATTTAAAGGAGGAAATTGTTTCAGAAGCTGACCTTCATACTGCATCTCTGAGCAGCAACTGATGATGCTATTGAACTCAGATGCTGATTGGTTCTCCAACACGAGATTACCCAACCCAGGAGCAAAGAAATTAGTACCTTACTCCCTGTGTTGGGGATGTGAGTAGAGGGAGGTCATAGTTCTCCGTGAATGTGAGACTTGCCTGCTACCCTGGCACCTGGTCCTGTCCTGTTCTCCAGCATGGTGTGTCTGAGGCTCCCTGGAGGCTCCTGCATGGCAGCGCTGACAGTGACACTGATGGTGCTGAGCTCCCCACTGGCTTTGGCTGGGGACACCGGACCTAAGTGCACCCTGTGGTTGCTGAGCTACTATAAGGGGGTTAAAGTAGGGACCTAAATTTGTCACTGTGCCCAGGCCATGTCCCTTAAGAATTTGTGGTGTTTTCAACAGGGATTGCCCATCTTTATCACATGGATCCCAAATTACTTCCTCCACAAAAGGAGCTTGGCTACTTGCCCTCTCCATGAGACTTGTGTAAGGGGCCTCCATACAGGTCATTTCTTCTCAAATCTCTACCAATAAAACTTTGCATCACATGTCCTCAGGGTCTTTAGAGGATTTAGAAAAAGGATGCTAAAATAAATTCCCCATACAGCACTTCCCTTTATTATGTTGACTTAAGTCAGACAAAAGGAGGTTTTTTTCTCAAAATTTTGTGAGAGTCAAGGGAATTCAAAGGGTCTCTCCTAGATGATCCTGTGTTATGTCCTCCACAGGACATGTGGTATTGGCCCCTCTTCCTCATATGTGAAGATGTACCCAGTGGCCTCCCCATTATCTACTTTCTTTTCTTTCTGAAGTCCAGTCTTTATAAAGCCTGTATCCCTGTAGCTTACATAGGTTCTCTGACAAAAGTTATACTTAGTGCTCTTTCTTTCTTATGGGGAAAAATCCCTGGAGCTGAAGCCGAGATCTTTAGTACTTGGTATCACCCTACAGACAGAGAACATCTGTGGGGTGTTCTTTGGTGCCTAAAGAACTTAAGGCATCCTCTGAAAACCTGGCCCAGGATAGTGTTTATTATGAATCTCTTTTAACCTTTCTATACTAGCTTCTCCTACATCTCCTATATGCTCTAACTAGACTCCACAAGAAGAGATTCAATGAATGTAGGATAAATTATATGAAATTATATTTTTGTAAGTCAAAAATAGTGAAATATCAGAAATTTGCTAAGGTTCAAACTATATACTCTGAGTGGAGTTACCGAGACAATGTGGACATTGTTCACATCTCATAGGGCTGAAAGTCAATGAGCAAGTCTTGGAAACTCATTGTCCTACTTGGGTCTTGTCCTAAATTTTATAGGTTCACCCATCATACCCTCCGCTTTTCTTAATTAGCCATGTCCGCTTACCTCTTCCTCCAGTTTCTCTCTATTTTTCCCCAGCTATGTTGTCATTATTTCCCAAAATCCTTAAATCTTGCACAGACCTAGAGCACTATGAGGTTCATCACAAGAGATAATTTCTTCCTTTTTTGAGGCAGGGCCTGGCTCGCACCCAGGCTGTAGTGAAGTGGTGCGATAGAGGCTCACTGCAACCTCTGCCGCCAAAGCTCAAGTGATCCTCCCTCCTCAGCCTCCAGAGTAGCTGGGACTACAGGCAGGAAACCACACCCAGCTAATTATTGTAATTTTGGTAGAGACTGCATTTTGCTATATTGCCCAGGCTGGTCTTATACTCCTGGGCTCAAGCGATCCTCCTGCCTCCCAACATGCTAGGATTACAGATGAGAGCCAACATGCCCAGCCGGAAAGAGATGAATCTTAATTTAAAAAAAAAAATTCCTTTTTCTTAAAATTACTCTTTCCTTGGCCAGGCGCAGTGGCTCATGCCTGTAATCCCAGCACTTTGGGATGCCGAAGTGGGCAGATCACGAGGCCACGAAATCGAGATCATCCTGGCCAACATGATGAAACCCGTCTTTACTAAAAATAAAAAAATTAGCTGGGCATGGTAGCACATGCCTGTAATCCCAGCTACTCGGGAGGCTGAGGCAGGAGAATCACTTGAACCCAGGGGGCGGAGGTTGCAGTGAGCCCAGATCACGCCACTGCACTGCAGCCTGGCGACAGAGCTAGACTCCATCCCAAAAATAAAAAAAAAAAAGAAAAAAATTAGTTTCCTTATCTGTTAATTCATCCAACTAGAAGGAGGAGAAAGAAGTAGTGTGCCTGTATTTCTCACAGGGAAGAGAAGGGGTCTAGTATGACATCAAAATGAAAGAGTGCTGGAGCTTGAGCCCCTTCTTGCTTTTCAGGATCCAAACAGTGATCAGTTCCCAGAACCCTGGTTTATTCATATAAACCACACTTATTTTTATCAGCAGCTACTGTGTACTGGCCTCCCTTCTAGGTTCAAATCATTCTATTTGAGTAAGATACAGTGGATTGGCCCCTACTCATGGAAATTACACAATCATAGAGGAGATAGACAATAACCCAATAATCATTTAACAAAGAAGAAAATTTCAGAGAGTCATTGTGCATGGAAGAAAAGACATCAGGTTTGTGGAAAGAGAGAATTGGATCCACCCAACTTTGGTTCATATGCTTAAGCAGCTCTACCTGAGAAAGTGACATTCAGCTGAGACAACAAAATAAGTAGACACTCGTGAGGATCTAAGGGACAAAATTTCCAGGGAGACAAAATGTGGGGGAAATCCTGGGGGGGAAATTATGTGCAGGGACAGAAAGAAGGCTAGAGGGGCTGACGTATAGGAAGCAAGAAAATGGAGAGGCAGAAGATGAGGTAGGATGCAGAGAGGAAGTCAGGAGCCTCATCATATTAGGCCCTGATGTTCATAGTAAGAAATTTTAATTTTATTTAAACAGATATGGGAAGCTACTGCATGGTTACAAGGAGAGTCCATTTATATTCAATTTTTAAAACTAATTCTAGTTACTTTGTGGGGATTGGATTGCTGGGGTTCACAAGTGGTCAGGAAGACTATTTAGGAGCACAGCAGGGAATCCTCAGGGAAAATAGGCTCATGGCTTCCTGGTGTGCATTAGTGACAAAGACAGTGAAAAAGATGAAGTGGACAGACTCGGCATGTAATTTGCTTAGCCTGTTAATGGATTACTGTAGAGGGGATAGAACAATCAAGCTTATTCCTAAGGATTTTGTCTTGACAAATAAGTGGATGGTGGTGGTGTTTATTGAGATAGGGAAAACTGTGGGAGGAGATTATTTGAAGTGGGTGGTTGGAAATGATTTATTGACATTTATGTGGAACAATCAGAAGGTCAAGGGAATTTAAGAGACTCACGGTGAGTTCAGGGCTGGAGGTGTTTCTGTTGACAGCATCAATACATGTACTCTGTTAAATTCCAGGGAGTGGAAGAGGATACATAGGGTAATAGCTTGTGTGTAGAAAAAAGAAGTCACAGGCCAGCAAAGGGGACTGAGAGGGAGCCCCAGGGATGTTGGAGAAAAACCAAGAGAACACAATGCATGTAAGTCAAAGAAAATAGATTTTTTTCAAGAAGGGAGAAGCCAATGAGTATCACAAAGTGGGTGAAGTGAGAATGTGAGAGAGAAGCAAGTGCTGGGTTTGCTGGAGTTGGTATTTGCAGTCAATGGAGTATCCAGGATGGAAAATGGAATGGACCATTTGAACAGCAAGTAGAAGTGAGGATGAGGTTAAGGTTGACTGTTCTGAGTAGAGAGATTCAGGGAAGGACTGCGCTCTGGGTTCAGGAAGCCAGCTGAATCTAAAGGAAAAGACTAAAAAGGCTGAAGAGAAGCAGGAGGATCTGTGAACCAGAGATGCTCAGTCATCATTGGCAAGGAAGTACGAGAGGGTCCCTGTGTGCAGTGGTGAATGTTCATGCAAAACATCACACAGCCAATATTTCACACAACCCATATTTATTAGTGACTTAGAATATGCCAGCTACTGCTCTAAGTCATGAGAATGGAGTGATGAATAAAATGAACCTGGTCTCCATCAGTACATGCCATATAACATTTTGCAGTGACTGTGTACCAGGCCTTTGATTTTCAGTATACAATTTCAATAATGATCCTATTGTATCTGTGGTGTTTAAAAACATATACATCTCTGGAATCTAAAATTGAGAAGATATAAGTAAAACCCAGTATCCCAAATGTAGTGCTAGAAATCAGATTGCAGTTTAAATCTGAGCATGTAGAAAGTCCCTTTCTCCTATGTCAGCAGATGCCTTTTGTGTGAGGTTTGTTTAGGTATACTGCATTATTAGACATAAGCTAGTGTTTCTGCCCTATGTTTTCAGAATGACAATTCTTTATGAAACTAATAGAAGAACAGAAAACAATTGCAAAATCATGATGAAGATACTAATTGCTTTAGAATCAAGGAATAAGGAAAATAATGTGAGCTGCAGTTAAAGGGATCATAAAAAATTAAAATGAAAATATTTTTGAGTGTTTATTATGTGGTCAGTGCTAAGAAGTCATTATTTAATTTTACACTTAAAAATAACCCTGTGAAGATGATGCTATTATTAAATGCATTTGATAGATTACAAAAAGGCTTTGGTTAGTAAAAATTGACCCAAGTAGAAGAGATTATGTTTCCATTCAGATTTTCTGATTCTAGAGATTGAGAGTCTGCCAATTATTAGTGAGTAGTGACCAAATTGTGTCTGAATTATTGACAGAATTCCTGATATTCATATGTATCAGGTTGTTTCTTGAAGTGGGAGCAGAGATGCAAGGGCTGCTAGTTCCAATGTATAGGAGAAACTTTCATTCATTTTGCATTTATCATTTTAAAAGTTCTATATGTCTCTCCTGGGCATGTGTTGAAGAACACAAGGAAGTATTAAATCACTCCTTGTTCTGAGGTTTGACTAGCAAGTTGGCCTGAGGTTGCCAAATAAAATACAGGTTCCTAGTTAAATCTGAATTTCAGATACACACCATAATTTATTGGAAATCCAAATTTAAGTGGGCATCCTCTGGTTTTATTTGCCAAACCTTTTGACCCTAACTGGGACACATGAGCATGGATTACAGTGCTAGTCATGCAAACCACAGTGACAGCGACTTCACACATGTTTATTTTTTAACTTTCTCTCTGTAAAGAAAGTGCTTAGATAATTTAAGAATAAAAAGACAGACATTTTTGATCCAGGGCATCGTTTCTAAAGGGCAAAGGGAGCTTTGCAAAGGTCATACTCAAAGTCTGGGGACCTGCTCATTTTTGCAAACTGCCTGTATGAGAATGTCATTTTCTTGGTTTCTCCCTTTCTGAGGGGAATTGACTACAAAACCGAGAGTTCTACCTCTGGCCAAGGCTGGAAATTTGATGCCTGTTAGTATTGTTGGGAGTGGGAGACTGAGAGAAATGAGTTAGTTGGGGCATTAAATGGGAATCAAATGGCTCTGGTTGTGATTCATTACTACAGATAATTAGTGGACCAGTGGCACAGAAATTAAGAAAGAAGATGCTATGAAAGATAAATGATATGATTTGATGACTGATTATAAAGGCAAGGAAATCAGTAAATCTTGGTTCTCCACAAGTTCATTTTCTGGAAACATAGCACTGTATTGGGACCAGAATTCTACAACATTTTCATTTTATGTAGGACCAAGATTTTCAACAGATGTTTTTCAAAGTAATTCTCAGCTGCTCCATAACTGATAGTGGCTTGTTCAACACAGATTTTTTCAGATGGTTCACACCCATGGTTCTTACCCAGGGATAGTTCACCACCCCTCACTTCCCTCCCATCACCCTTGGGGAACATGTGGCAATGTTTGGAGGAATTTTTGGTTGTCACAACAGGGATTTCTTCTGATATTTAATGAGTAGAAGCCAGGGACACTTCTAGAGAACCTGCAATGTACACAACAGCCTCCATCACCAACGAAGAATTACCTGGTCCAAAATGTCAACAGTGCTGAGGTTGAGAGCACTGGTTCACACTGTGCTCTTTCTGAAAAGTCTAGACTCACATCTTTTTGTTTTGTTTTGTTTTGTTTTGTTTTGTTTTGTTTTGTTTTGTTTTTTTGAGATGGAGTCTCACTCTGTCACCCAGGCTGGAGTGCAGTGGCACAATCTCGGCTCACTGCCAGCTCCGCCTCTGGGTTCATGCCATTCTCCTGCCTCAGCCTCCCGAGTAGCTGAGACTACAGGTGCCCGACACTGCACCTGGCTAATTTTTTGTATTTTTTTAGTAGAGACTGGTTTTCACCGTGTTAGCCAGGATGGTCTCGATCTTCTGACCTCGTGATCTGCCCGCCTCAGCCTCCCAAATTGCTGGGATTACAGGCG
Organism: Homo sapiens; assembly: GCF_000001405.40. NCBI lineage: Eukaryota > Metazoa > Chordata > Mammalia > Primates > Hominidae > Homo > Homo sapiens. The sequence goes on along the minus strand of NT_167245.2, from coordinate 3,720,008 downwards.
TGAGCCACCATGCCTGGCCTAGACTCACATCTTTTATACAATCACCACCCAATTCACTTCTTTATGGTTAATTTTTGCTTGTTTCATTATAAATAACTAGACAGTTGCATAAATTCAACCACTTTCTTGTTGAATCCATTCAGTGTAGAGAGCCGGAGGCTGGAGAATCATGACCAATTCAGAATTTCCACTGAGGCAATATGATCAAACAGCAAACTGTTTATCATGAATACAGAGCAGGGGCAAACTCTCCTCTGTGCTGGCCACCAGAAGGTTTGCTGAGGGCAATCACTCCCTGGTGCAGAGCTCCTTCAGGTTATCTACTGGGACATCTAGAATCTATTGTTCAAGGAATGTAGTCTTGCAAGGCTGCTCTGGAGCAAGCAGCAGACCGACAACGACCCCCTCCTTGCTATCTCTTCTCAGTAAATACGAAGGAAGCTCCAGGCTCAGGGCCTTTGTTCACAAAGAGCAAGGTGCCCCTGACCCCTTCTTCCAAATATATTCTTTTGTCTTTATTTCCATGTTCATCCTCCTTTGTTCAGTCCAACAGGGTCCATGGCATAGTGATGTTCAAACAGCGACAGGGCGACACCGTAGTGGTTTCTAAACACAGGGACATGAGAATGTGAACAAAGAAGATCTGGTGGAGCAGAGGAACTGAAATTGACAAGACGAATGGGGACCCCGAGATGAGTCTGCTGGCAGCTGATATAAGGTCAGTGCCCTAAAGAGGTACTGGGAGCAATATAAGGTCAGTGCTCTAAAGAAGTATTGGGAACGGGAAGTTTTCTAAATCAGGGTAACGTGAGGCAGAATTTGTCTATTGAAGAAAAACATTATGAGCAGTTGCTTAAAGTTTTGTTGAAATAATCTGGTGCTCAGGTTAGATCTCAGACATTAACTACAATGCTGCAGGAGGTTATTATGTATAACCCATGGTTCCCACAGACAGGCACTCTTGATATGGAAAATTGGGACAGAGCAGAAGGATTAAAATGGGCTCAGTAAAAAGGTCTCAAAGTTGATCCTTCTGTTTTCTCCACTTGGAGTTTAGTCTATACTGTCCTTCTGCCATTATCTCCTTCTTCTGCTGGACAGCAGGAGTGATGTTCTGAGTCTAAAAATCTGAAAAAATCTGTTGTCCCACCCACAGCTCCAATTGAAAATAAAAAACAGGAGAAGGAGGATAAAAATTGGCCTATACCGCCTCCTCCAATAGCAGAAACATCTGTACCGCCTCCTTCGGTAGCAAAAATAGAGACCCCAATACAGAGAATTTTACACCGTGCTGCCATAGCTGGAGAGCCCTTAGGACCTTGCACTTTTCCTATTTCTGTAAGGCCTGATCCAAATAATCCATAGCAGCTTATTCATGAACACACTCCACTAGAGTTTAAGTTGTTGAAGGAATTAAAAGGAGTGTGGTAAATAATGGTGTACACAGCCTGTTCACTTTAGGATGGCTAGTATCTGTATTTGGTGCTGTGCGCCTTCTACCCTTCGATGTAAAGAATTTGGCTTACACTTGTTTGTCTCCTAGTGCATACCTGACATGGAATTTAAATTGGCAAGAAATGTGTGCAGACCAGGCTAGACAGAATTGTGTGGCTGGACACAGAGACATTACAGAGGACATGCTCTTAGGTAATGGCCCTTATTCAGACCTGGAACATCAAATGGCACTCCCAAATGCCAGCAGTGTGCACAGGCTGCCAAATGCAACTGGGCCACAATTCCAGAAGAGGGAGTCCCAGTGCAATCCTTTTTACATATCATGCAAGGGTCGCAAGAACCTTATGCACAATTTCTTGCATGACTATAAAAGGCAATGAAGCATCAGATTTATCACACCACTGCTGCAGAGATGCTAACCTTAACTCTAGCTTTTGAGAATGCAAATGCAGATTGTAAATGTGCATCGGCACCTGTGAGGTGTACAAAAAACTTGGGAAATTTTCTCAGAGCTTGTCAAGATGTGGGAAATGAGCTTCATCGCTCTACAATATTAGTGCAGGCAATGGCTAATTTAGCAGTTGACAAATCTAAAAGGAACCAAGGGTCAAACCCTAAAATGGGAAAATGTTATAACTGTGGAAAAACTGTACTTTTTTTTTTTTTTTTTGAGATGGAGTCTCGCTCTGTCGTCCAGGCTGGAGTGCAGTGGTGCAACCTCGGCTCACTGCAAGCTCCTCCTCCCAGGTTCATGCCATTCTCCTGCCTCAGCCTCCCAAGTAGCTGGGACTACAGGCGCCCGCCACTACGCCCAGCTAATTTTTTGTATTTGTTTAAGAGATGGGGTTTCACCATGTTAGCCAGGATGGTCTCGATCTCCTGACCTTGTAATCCGCCCACCTTGGCCTCCCAAAGTGCTTGGATTACAGGCATGAGCCACCATGCCCAGCCAAAACTGGACATTTTATAAAGGAATTCCACCAGATCTCAGGACAGAAAGGACATTACGATGCAGTGCCCCACCCAGCGGAAAAAAACACCAGGACTTTGTCCTCACTGTAACAAAGGAAATCACTAGGCTAATCAGTGCCGCTCAAAATTTCATCAAAACAACATCCCCGTGTCGGGAAACTAGAAGGGGGCCTGGATCCGGGCCCCTCAAACAATGAGGGCATTTCCAGTTCAGACCACAGTCCCACTTCAGGGATGGGTCTCAGGAAAAACATTGATTCCTGGTGTTCCTCACCTCAGGAACACCAGGAAGTGCAGGATTAGATATCCCCACCAGAGAAAGAACTACATTAGTTGGAGGAGACAAACCTACAAGGTTCCCACTGGCATTTGGGGACTTTTACCAACAGGATACATAGGACTAATTTTAGGCAAAAGCCCCCTTAACTTGCAAGGCATGACTGTAGTCCCTGGAATAGTTGATTCCATTTATGAAGGAGAAATTCAAGTAGTTTTAATGTCAAAAATCTTTGCATTTTTGAACTGGGAGAATATATTGCTCAGTCGTTGCTTATTCCCTGCAAATTAAATCCTTATCCTTCTCCACGAAAGGAGAAACGAGGAAATAAAGGGTTTGGGAGCACAACTACAAGGGAAATCTATCTATCCCATCCCATAGCCCATAGGACTTATGGATAGAGGAGCTGAAGTGTCAGTAATATCCAGTAAGGACTGACCCCCAGTATGGTCTCTCAGACTAACCTCCACATCCCTAGTGGGAGGAGGAGCAGCTAAAAGTGTTCAACAGAGTGCTGACATTTTACCTTGTCTTGGTCCGGATGGACAGCCATGTACTTTTCAGCCTTATGTTGCAAATATGGCAATCAATTTATGGGATCGAGACTTACTTACAGAATGGAATATGAGACTTACAAATGAAAACTTTGATAACCCAGGATTTAAAATGTTGAAGGACATGGGATATCAGAGTGGGAAAGGTTTAGGGAAATTCCTACAAGGAAAACCTAACCCAATATCAATAACTGGAAAAAACAGATAGAAGAGGGCTAGGACGTCAGGATTTCTGATGGAGGTCATTGATATTTCTCCTCCACCCTCTGCCTTACCATTAGAATGGCCAGTGACAAACCCGTATGGGTGGATCAATGGCCCCTATCTCAGGAGAAGCTGACACAACTTCAGCAGCTAGTATAAGAACAACTGGACACAGGACATATAGAGGAGTCAGTTAGCCCCCAGAATTCACCAGTGTTTGTTATTCCAAAAAAGTCTGGAAGGTGGTGACTGCTGCACGTTTGGAGTTAATGCACAAATTGAACCAATGGGTCCATTACAGCAAGGTTTGCCAACTCCAGTGGTCATTCCTAGAGATTGGCTTCTTGTAGTAATACATCTTAAGGATTGTTTCTTCACTATACCATTACAGGAGAAGGATAAGCCTCGATTTGCCTTCTCTGTGCCTTCTATTAATCAAAAAGAACCTGTTTCTTGCTATCAATGGAGAGTTTTACCCCAAGGCATGCTTAACAGTCCTACGTTATGTCAGCATTTTGTAGGACAGGCATTAAAGGAGCCTCGAAATATGTTTCCTACTGCTTACATCATTCATTTTATGGATGACATTCTTTTGGCCGCTCCTATAGATCAAATCTTACATCGCTTATTCCAAGAAACAAAGTAGGCTTTAACTAAATGGAATGTCAAAATAGCTCCAGAAAAGGTAGAAACAACTTTGCCATACCATTACTTAGACAATATTGTTACTGAAAGAAGTGTACGGCCTCAAAAGTAGTTCTCCATAAAGACAGGTTACAGACTTTAGGCCGGCCGCGGTGGCTCACGCCTGTAATCCCAGCACTTTCGGAGGCCGAGGCAGGCAGACCACAAGGTCAGGAGATTGAGACCATCCTGGCGAACACAGTGAAACCCTGTTTCTACTAAAAATACAAAAAAATTAGCCGGGAGTTGTGGCGGGCGCCTGTAGTCCCAGCTACCCAGGAGGCTGAGGCAGGAGAATGGCATGAACCTGGGGGGCTGAGCTTGCAGTGAGCAGAGATCGCGCCACTGCACTCCAGCCTGGGCGACAGAACGAGTCTCCATCTCAAAACAAACAAACAAACAAACAAACAAAAAAAAGACAAATGAGTGCCTATGTGGTAGCATGTGAATTAATGCAGAACTTTATAAGCATAGTTGTATTCTGAAGTCCATTCTGAATCTTAGATGTTATATTTATATTAATAAAAAGCATAGTCATTATCTAAATGTATAATAATATGTTTAATATTACATAGTTACATCAACTGATGTAATTCATAGTTTTCCCTAGTGTTCTCTTTCCTGAATATTCTGAAATGTATTAGTTAGCAAAGTCGTCTTTTATCTTCCCTTATGATAAAACAAGAGAAACATAATATAAAGTGCTATAGCCTCAATCAAATGAGGAAATCATAATGGGAACCAAGAATGAGGGATTGAACACTCTTCACATAAAATATTCATTATTTTAAAACATAATGTGGCCAGGCACGATGGCTCACGCCTGTAACCCCAGCAGTTTGGGAGGCCGAGGCAGGAAGAACATGAGGTCAGGAGATCGAGACCATCTTGGCTAACACAGTGAAACCCATCTCCACTAAAAATACAAAAAATTAACCAAGCATGGTGGCAAGTGCCTGTAGTCAGAGTTACTTGGGAGGTTGAGGCAGGAGAATCTTTGAACCGAGGAGGCAGATGTTGCAGTGAGCTGAGATCGCTCCACTGCACTCCAGCCTGGGCAACAGAGACAGACTCCGTCTCAAAAAAAAAAGAGTTGTTCTATGAACAGCTAACTTTCACAGTCTTCGATCGATCTCTCAGACCCATGAATACTTGGATTGCACAGTTGACCTTATCACATTGTTAGGGTAAGTGCCATACAAAGGCACCTTCAGACCCTCCATTGCACATAGGTGGCCCCTGTTAGCCCCTTGCCTGTGTGTGTTCTGGAGGGGCCACTAAACCTGGGGGCAGCATCAGGAGACACACTTGAAAAAGATATTCTTACTCAGATTAAATTATTAACAAACTTTCAATTTCCTTTAACTTATTAAAGACATCCCTACCTGTAAACAGGTACGGATTAAGCTCTCTAGTCAATAGCTGTCATTCTGTCATATTATCAGATACCCGGGGCTGCTGCTCCTTCAGGCGTCCACAGAATCACAGCATTTTCCAGTATCGAAAGACCTGAAAGATCACAGTGCCTTCATTTCAACTGTGAGACACGAAATAATTTTCCCAAATCTACAACATTAAGATATGGTGCAATAAGGACCAGTTTAAATGTCTCCGGATTTACAACCATGTTCCTTCCATCTCCTTTACTCCTAAACACACTCACACACTCACTTCTGCAAACAGTTGTCTTGTCAAGTGGGAAATGAATGCTCTTACAAGGCTCAAACTTACGAACACATCACTGACCAGCACAGAGCTGGCTCACAATCGGACCCAATTAAAGTGTTTTACATGCAACTGGATCAAATCTTTCAAGCACTAATTTAAAAACAATCCTTTAAAGAAGGAAATTCTGTTTCAGAAGAGGACCTTCATACAGCATCTCTGACCAGCAACTGATGATGCTATTGAACTCAGATGCTGATTGGTTCTCCAACACGAGATTACCCGACCCAGGAGCAAGAAAGTCAGTAACTTCCAACCCCATAATTTGGAATGTGGGTGGAGGGGTTCATAGTTCTTCCTGAGTAAGACTTGCCTCCTCCTCTGGCCCCTGGTCCTTTCCTGTTCTCCAGCATGGTGTGTCTGAAGCTCCCTGAAGGCTCCTGCATGGCAGCGCTGACAGTGACACTGATGGTGCTGAGCTTCCCACTGGCTTTGGCTGGGGACACCCGACATAAGCGCACATTGTGGGTGCTGAGCTACTATGGGGTGGGGAAAATAGAGAGTTTTGTTAACATTGTGCCCAGGCCATGTCCCTTAAGACTTTGTGACGTTTTGGTCAGAGATTGTGCATCTGTATTATTGGATCCCAAATTATCTCCTCCACGAAAGGAGCTTGACTACTTGCTCATGACACAGTCCATAAGACTGTGTAAGGGGCCTTCGTACAGATCATTTCTTTTTAAATCTCCACCAATAAAACCTTTGCATCACATGTCCTCAGGGTGTTTAGAGGATTTGGCAATAAGGATGCTAAAATAATTTCCCCATACAGCACTTCCCTTTATTATGTTGACTTACGTCAGACAAAATGACGTTTTTACTGAAAATTTTGTGGGAGTCAAGATAATTCAAAGGGTCTCTTCTAGAGGATCCTGGGTTATGTCCTCCACAGGAACTTTGGTGTTGGCCCCTCTTCCTCAAATGTGAGGATGTACCAATGGCCTCCCCATTATCTCCTTTCTTTTTCTTTCTGAACTCCAATGTTTATAAAGCCTATATCCCTGTAGTGTATGTAGGTTCTCTGACAGAAGTTATACTTAGTGCTCTGTCTTTCTTATGGGGAAAAATCCCTGGAACTGAAGCTAAGATCTTTAGTACTTGGAGTCACCCTACAGATAAAGAGCATCTCTGGGGTGTTCTTTGGTGCCTAAAGAACTTAAGGCATCCTCGGAAAACCTGGCCCGGCTTAGTGTTTATTATGAATCTCTTCTAACCTTTCTATAGAAATTTCTCCTACATGTCCTACATGCTCTAACTAGACATAACAAGAAGATATTCAACTAACGTAAGATAAATTATATGAAATTCTATTTTTGTAAGTCAAAAACAGTCAAATATCAGAAATTTAATAATGTTCAAACTATATACTGTGTGAGGTTACAGAGACAATGCGGACATTGTTCACATCTCATAGGGCTGAAAGTCAATGAGCAAGTCCTGGGAACTCATTGTCTTACTGGGGTCTTGTCTTAAATTTCCTAGGTTCACCCGTCATGCCCTCAGCTTTCCTTAATTAGCCATGTCTGCTTACCTCTTCCTCCAGTTTTTATTTTTCCCCAGCTATGTTGTCATCATTTCCAGAAATTCCTAAAGCTTGCACAGACCCAGAGCACTATGAGATCCATTGAAAGAGATTTTTTCCTTTTTTTGAGACAAGGCCTGGCTCTGTCACCCATGCTGTAGTTCAGTGTTATGATCTAGGCTTACTGCAACCTCTGCCTCCCAGGCTCAAGCGAGCCTCCCTCCTCAGCCTCCAGAGTAGTGGAGACTACAGGCAGGAAACCATGCCCAGCTGATTTTTGTAATTTTGCTAGAGATGAGATTTTGCTATGTTACCCAGGCTGGTCTTAAACTGCTGGACTCAAGCAATCCTCCAGCCTTGACCTCCCAACATGCTAGGGTTATAGGTTTGAGCCACCGCACCCAGGCAAAAAATAGATGAATCTTAATTTAAAAATTTATTATTTCTTAAATCACTGTTAATCTTTATCTGTGAATTCTTACAACTAGAAGGAGGAGAAAGAAGAACTTTGCCTGTATTTCACACCGGGAGGAGAAGGGGTCTAGTGTGACATCAAAATGAAAGAGTGCTGGAGTTTGAGCCCCTTCTTGCTTTCCAGGATCCAAACAGTGATCAGTTCCCAGATCCCTGGTTTATTCTTGTAAACCACACTTATTTTTCTCAGCAGCTACTGTGTACTCGGCTCCATTCCAAGTTCAAATCATTGTATTTGATTAAGATAGAGAGGGTCCCGACGCTCATGGAAGTTACACAACAATAGAGGAGACAGACATTAACCCAATATGCAATTAACAAAGAAGATAACGTTAGAGAGTAATAGTGCACTGAAGAAAAGACATCAGGTTTGTGGAAAAGAGAGAAATGGATTCACCCAACTTTAGCTCATGTGTTTAGAAAGCTCTGCCTGAGAAAGTGACATTCAGCTGAGACAACAAAATAAGTAGAGAGCCATGTGAAGATCTAAGGGACGAAAGTTCCAGGGAGACAGAATGTGGGGGCAGGGGGGGCGGGAAGCCCTGGGGTGGGAAATTACGTGCAGGGACAGAAAGAAGGCTAGAGACACTGAACTATAGCATTCAAGGAAATGCAGAGGCAGAGGGTGAGGTAGGAAGCAGAGAGGAAGTCAGGAGCCTCATTATATTAGGCTCTGATGTCCATGGTAAGAAATTTGAATTTTATTTTATTTATTTTCATTTTTTTATTTCATTATTTATTTTTTGAGATGGAGTTTCGTTCTTGTTGCCCAGGCTGGATGCAATGGAGTGGCCTCGGCTCACTACAACCTCTGCCTCCTGGGCTCACGTGATTTTCCTGCCTCAGCCTCCCGAGTAGCTGGGACTACAGGCGCCTGCCACCATGCCAGGCTAATTTTTTAGTATTTTTAGTAGAGACAGCGTTTTACCATGTTGGCCACGTTGGTCTCGAACTCCTGACCTCCGGTAATCTGCCTGCCTTGGCTTCCCAAACTGCTGGGATTACAATCATTAGTCTCCGTACCCAGCCTGAATTTTATTTAAATAGATGTGAGACACTACTGGATGGTTACAAGGAGAGTCAATTCATGTTCAGTTTTAGAAACTAATTCTGGCTTTAAAGTAGAGGGAAATTTATAGCACTAAATGCCCACAAGAGAAAGCAGGAAAGATCTAAAACTGACAACCTAACATCAAAATTAAAATAACTAGAGAAGCAAGAGCGATCACATTCAAAAGCTAGCAGAAGGCAAGAAATAACTAAGATCAGAGCAGAACTGAAGGAAATAGAGACACAAAAAACCCTTCAAAAAAGTCAATGAATCCAGGAGCTTGTTTTTTGAAAAGATCAACAAAACTGATAGACCGCTAATAAGACTAATAAAGAAGAAAAGAGAGAAGAATCAAATAGATGCAATAAAAAATGATAAAGGGGTATCACCACCGATCCCACAGAAATACCAACTACCATCAGAGAATACTATAAACACCTCTACACAAATAAACTTGAAAATCTAGAAGAAATGGATAAATTCCTCGACACATACACTCTCCCAAGACTAAACCAGGAAGAAGTTGAATCTCTGAATAGACCAATAACAGGCTCTGAAATTGAGGCAATAATTAATAGCTTACCAACCAAAAAAGTCCAGGACCAGACAGATTCACAGCCGAATTCTATCAGAGGTACAAGGAGGAGCTGGTACCATTCCTTCTGAAACTATTCCAATCAATAGAAAAAGAGGGAATCCTCCCTAACTCATTTTATGAGGCCAGCATCATCCTGATACCAAAGCCGGGCAGAGACACAACGAAAAAAAAGAGAATTTTAGACCAATATCCCTGATGAACATCGATGCAAAGATCCTCAATAAAATACTGGCAAACCGAATCCACCAGCACATCAAAAAGCTTATCCACCATGATCAAGTGGGCTTCATCCCTGGGATGCAAGGCTGGTTCAACAAATGCTAATCAATAAAGGTAATCCAGCACATAAACAGAACCAACGACAAAAACCACATGATTATCTCAATAGATGAAGAAAAGGCCTTTGACAAAATTCAACAACCCTTCATGCTAAAAACTCTCAATAAATTAGGTATTGATGGGATGTATCTCAAAATAATAAGAGCTATTTATGACAAACCCACAGCCAATATCATACTGAATGGGCAAAAACTGAAAGCATTCCCTTTGAAAACGGGCACAAGACAAAGATGCCCTCTCTCACCACTCCTATTCAACATAGTGTTGGAAGTTCTAGCCAGGGCAATCAGGCAGGAGAAGGAAATAAAGGGTATTCAATTAGGAAAAGAGGAAGTCAAATTGTCCCTGTTTGCAGATGACATGATTGTATATCTAGAAAACCCCATCGTCTCAGCCCAAAATCTCCTTAAGCTGATAAGCAACTTCAGCAAAGTCTCAGGATAAAAAATCAATGTGCAAAAATCACAAGCATTCTTATACACCAATAACAGACAGAGAGCCAAATCTTGAGTGAACTCCCATTCACAATTGCTTCAAAGAGAATAAAATATCTAAGAATCCAACTTACAAGGGATGTGAAGGATCTCTTCAAGGAGAACTACAAACTGCTGCTCAACGAAATAAAAGAGGACACAAACAAATGGAAGAATATTGCATGCTCATGGGTAGGAAGAATCAATATCATGAAAATGGCCATACTGCCCAAGGTAATTTATAGATTCAATGCCATCCCCATCAAGCTACCAATGACTTTCTTCACAGAATTGGAAAAAACTACTTTAAAGTTCATATGGAACCAAAAAAGAGCCCTCATTGCCAAGTCAATCCTAAGCCAAAAGAACAAAGCTGGAGGCATCATGCTACCTGACTTCAAACTATACTACAAGGCTACAGTAACCAAAACAGAGATAGAGATCAAGGGAACAGAACAGAGCCCTCAGAAATAATGCCACATATGTACAACCATCTGATCTTTGACAAACCTTACAAAAACAAGAAATGGGGAAAGGATTCCCTATTTAATAAATGGTGCTGGGAAAACTGGCTAGCCATATGTAGAAAGCTGAAACTGGATCCCTTCCTTACACCTTATACAAAAGTTAATTCAAGATGGATTAAAGACTTACATGTTAGACCTAAAACCATAAAAACCCTAGAAGAAAACCTAGGCAATACCATTCAGGACATAGGCATGGGCAAGGACTTCATGTCTAAAACACCAAAAGCAATGGCAACAAAAGCCAAAATGGACAAATGGGATCTAATTAAACTAAAGAGCTTCTGCACAGCAAAAGAAACTACCATCAGAGTGAACAGGCAACCTACAGAATGGGAGAAAATGTTTGCAATCTACTCATCTGACAAAGGGCTAATATCCAGAAACTACAAAAAACACAAACAAATGTACAAGAAAAAAACAAACAACCCAAGCAACATGTGGGTGAAGGATATGAACAGACACTTCTCAAAAGAAGACATTTATGCAGCCAAAAGACACATGAAAAAATGCTCATCAACACTGGCCATCAGAGAAATGCAAATCAAAACCACAATGAGATACCATCTCACACCTGTTAGAATGGAGATCATTAAAAAGTCAGGAAACAACAGGTGCTGGAGAGGATGTGGAGAAATAGGAACACTTTTACACTGTTGGTGGGGCTGTAAACTAGTTCAACCATTGTGGAAATCAGTGTGGCGATTCCTCAATGATCTAGAACTAGAAATACCATTTGACCCAGCAATCCCATTACTGGATATATACCCAAAAGATTATAAATCATGCTGCTATAAAGACACATGCACATGTATGTTTATTGTGGCACTATTCACAATAGCAAAGACTTGGAACCAACCCAAATGTCCAACAATGATAGACTGGATTAAGAAAATGTGGCACATATACACCATGGAATACTATGCAGCCATAAAAAAGGATAAGTTCATGTCCTTTGCAGGGGCATGGATGAAGCTGGAAACCATCATTCTCAACAAACTATTGCAAGGACAAAAAACCAAACACCGCATGTTCTCACTCATAGGTGGGAATTGAACAATGAGAACACATGGACACAGGAAGGGGAACTTCACACATGGGGCCCGTTGTGGGGTGGAGGAAGGGGGGAGGGATAGCATTAGGAGATATACCTAATGTAAATGAAGAGTTAATGGGTGCAGCACACCACGTGGCACATGTATACATATGTAACAAACCTGCACATTGTGCACATGTACCCTAGAACTTAAACTATTAAAAAAAAAACCGATAATTCTTTTTTTTTTTTTTTTGAGATGGAGTCTCACTCTGTTGCCCAGGCTGGAGTGCAATGGTGCAGTCTCAGCTCACTGCAACCTCCACCTCCCAGGTAATTTTTGTATTTTTAGTAGAGACGGGGTTTCACCATGTTGGCCAGGCTGTTCTCAAACTCCTTACCTCATGATCCGCCTGCCTCAGCCTCCCAAAGTGCTAGGATTACAGGCGTGAGCCACTGCGCCCGGCAGAAAAGAGGTAATTCTTAATGAAAATTTTTTTCTTTCTTACAATCACTGTTTCCTTATCTGTGAATCCTTCTTCCAACTAGAAAGAGGAGAGAAAGGAAGTTTGCCTTAATTTCTCACAGGGAGGAGAAGGGATATAGCATGTCATTAGAATGAAAGGGTGCAGGAGCTTGAGCCCTTTTCTGCTTTCTAGAATACCCAGAGTGATCAGTTCCCAGAACTTCGGTTTATTCATTTAGACCACAGGTATGTTTCTGAGCAAAAGTTTTGTTCTGGTCTCTGTTCTAGGCTGAGAGATTTCTACTTGAATAGGATAAAAAAGATCCCTACTCTCATGGAACTCAATACCAGAGGAGACAGACAATATCCCAATAAATATTTAACAAAAAAGAAAAATTCAGAGAGCAATAATGCCTTTAAAAAAAGACATCAGGGTGATAGGACAGAGAGAATTGGATTCACCCAACTTCACATTGGATTCACAGGTAGTTTGGGAGCCCTCCCTGAGGAGAGCTCACATTTAGCTGAGACAAGAACAATAAGACAGCCATGTGAAGATCTAAGGGACAAGTGTTCCAGACAGACAGAAAAGGGGAAAGGCCAAGGAATGGGAAGGCGTGTGCTGTGTTGAAGAGACAGAAAGAAGGTTAGAGGGGCTGAAGGATGGAAAGCAAGGGGTGGAGTGGCAGAAGATGAGGTAAGAGAGAGAGAAAGTCAGGAGCTGCATCATATTCGGCCTTGGTGGCCATAGTAAGGAATTAAGTTTTATTTAAACATATTTGAAGCTCCTGGAAGGTTACAAGGAGAGTCCATTAATATTATGTTGCGGGAAGTCAGGGACCCCAAACAGAGGGACCGGCTGAAGCCAGAACAGAAGAATGTGGATTGTGAAGATTTTATGTACATTTATTAGTTCCCCAAATTAATACTTTTGTAATTTCTTATGCCTGTCTTTACTGCAATCTCTAAACATAAATTGTAAAGATTTCATGAACACTTATCACTTTCCCAGTCAATACCCTTGTGATTTCCTATGCCTGCCTTTACTTTAATCTCTTAATCCTATCAGCCGAGGAGGATGTACGTCGCCTCAGGACTATGTGATAATTGCATTAACTGCACAAATTGTATAGTATGTGTGTTTGAGCAATATGAAATGTGGGCACCTTGAAAAAAGAACAGGATAACAGCAATTGTTCAGGGAATAAGAGAGATAACCTTAAACTCTGACTGCTGGTGAGCCAGGCAGAACAGAGCCATATTTCTCTTCTTTCAAAAGCAAATGGGAGAAATATTGCTGAATTCTTTTTCTCAGCATGGAATGTCCATGAGAAAGAGAATGCACACCTAGGGGTAGGTCTCTGAACTGGCCCCCCCGGGGCGTACCTATCTCTTATGGTTGAGATTGCAGAGGTGAGATAGATTCCAGTCTCCCATAGCGCTCCCAGGCTTATTAGGAAGAGGAAATTCCCACCTAATAAATTTTGGTCAGATCGGTTGATCTCAAAACCATGTCTCCTGATAAGATGTTATTGATGACAATGGTGCCTGAAACTTCATTAGCAATTTTAATTTCGCCTCGGTCCTGTGGTCCTGTGATCTCGCCCTGCCTCCACTTACCTTGTGATATTCTATTACCCTGTTAAGTACTTGATGTCTGTCACCCACACCTATTCGCACACTCCCTCCCCTTTTGAAAATCCCTAATAAAAACTTGCTGGTTTTTGTGGCTTGTGGGGCACCGTGGATCCTACCAACGTGTGATGTCTCCCCCAGCTTTAAAATTTCTCTCTTTTGTACTCTGTCCCTTTATTTCTCAAGCCGGCCGATGCTTAGGAAAATAGAAAAGAACCTACGTGATTATCGGGGCAGGTCCCCCGATAATATTCAATTTTAAAAATAATTCTAGCTACTATGTGGAGATTGGATTGTTGGGGTTCACAAGTGGACAACAGCAGAATTCTCCAGGGAAGAAAAATTTTTGGCTTCATGTAGTGTAGTAGTGACAAAGACAGATCCAGATAAAGTGAACAGACTTGGGATGTCTTTTTGCATGACTTGTTAATGGATTAAATGTAACTTATTTCTAAGTATTTTGCCTTGATAAATAGGTGGATGGTGGTGCTGCTTATTGAAATAGGGAAGAATAATGGGAGGAAATGATTTGAAGTGGGTGATTAGAAATGACAATTGTGTTTATTAAAATTGAGATGATTTTTGAACTCACATGAAGCAATCAGGAAGTCAACTGAATATAAGAGAGGAGTTCAGGGTGAGGCCAGGGCTGGAGGTATTTATGTTGGGGTCAATGCAGGTTCTGTGTTAAATTCCAGGGAAGTGGAAGAGGTTGCAGAGGGAGATAGATTTTTGTGTAGAAAAAATATCAGAGGGCCACAGGACAGCATAAGGGACTGAGAAGATTCCCCAGAGATGCTGGAGAAAAAAAACCCAAGGAATGTGATGCATGGGAATCAAAGAAAAATGATTTTTTCGAGGCGAGGGAGTGGCCAGTTGTGGTGAGAACCACTGACAGGTGAGTGAAGTAAGAACGTGACAGAGACGCAAGTACTGGGTTTGGAGGAGTTGATATTTGCAGTCAGTGGAGTATCCAGGATGGAAAGTGGATTGGACCATTTGAAGAGCGGGTGGAAGAAGTGAGGGCTGGATGAAGTTTGACTCTTTTGAGTAGCGAGCCTCAGGGAAAGACTATGCTCTGGGATCAGGGAGCCAGCTGGATCTAAAGAAAATGAACAAAGAAGCTGGATGACCTGTG
This sequence comes from Homo sapiens, assembly GCF_000001405.40. NCBI lineage: Eukaryota > Metazoa > Chordata > Mammalia > Primates > Hominidae > Homo > Homo sapiens. The sequence goes on along the minus strand of NT_167245.2, from coordinate 3,704,881 downwards.
AACCAGAGACAGATGCTCAGTCATTGGCAATGAAGCACTAGAAGGCCCCTGTGTACAGTGGTGACAGGTTATGCAAAAGGCTATTAGTTCATACAGCCAATATTTATTAGTGACTTAGAATATACTAGTTATTACCTTGGGTGATGAGAATGGAGTAATAAACAAAGCAAATCTGGTCTGTATTAGCGCGGAGTATTGTAATATTTTGCAGTGACTAATTACCAGGCTTATAAATTTTGGTATGGAAATCTAATACCTATCCTATCATATCTTTGGTATTTAAAAGCATATAGATCTTTGGAATCTAAAATTCAAAGGGTATAATGAACTTACCCACTGTCACAAAGTTAGTGCTAGAAATCCGATTGCAATTTAAATCTGAGTATATATGAAGTCCCTCTCTTCGATATCAGCAATCTCCTTTTGTGTGAGGTTTAGGCATATGAATTATTATATATAAACCAGTGTTTCTGTCCTCATGTGCTTAAAATGGTAATTAGTGATAAATTAATAAAAGACAATTGCCAAATCATGATGTAGACGTTACTTGCTTTAGAAGTTAAGGAATAGAAAAATAATGAAGCTTTCCTTTATAGGGATTGTAAAAATAAAATGGTAATATATTAGAGTGATTATTATATTATCAGCACTAAGAAGAGCCACTGCTTAGTTTTACCCTCAACAATAATCCTGTGAGGAATATATTACTGTTGGATCCATTTTATATATTTTTTTAAAGGTTAATGGTTGTTAAAATTAACCCTAGTAGAAGGGGTCATGTTTAAATTCAGATTTCCTGATTCTAGAGCCTGAGCTTACAACCACCATTGGTGAATAGTGACTAGACTGAGTCTGAATTATTGATAGAATTTCTTATGTACAGGGTGTGTCTCAGGGTGGGAGAGAGATGCAAGGTCTGCTAGTCCCAATGTAAAGGAGAAACTTTCATTCATTTTGCATTTATCATTTGAAAACTTCCCTATGTGCACGCTGTCATAGGCATGTGTTAAAGAACACAAAGAAGTATTAAATTCACTCCTTCTGAGCATTATTAGCAAGTTGGGCTAAGGTTGCCAAATAAAGTACAGGATACCCAGTTAAATCCGAACTTCAGATAAACAACAATAATGTATTTGAAATCCAAATTTAACTAGGCACCCTCTATTTTTATTTGCTAAATATGGCAATCTAAGCTTGGCACATGAGCATAGACTGCAGTGCTAACCATGCAAGCTACAGTGACGGCAATTTCACATATTTTTATTTTTCAACATTCTTATCTGTGAAGAAGGTGCTCAGAGAATTTAGGAATAATAAGATAGACCTTATCTCATCCAAAGTGCTCTCCTCTCTGCTATCATTTCTGAAGGGTGAAGGGAGCTTGTGAAAGTCTCTATGCAAAATCTGGGGACTTGCTCGTTTTTTGGAAACTATCTATGAGAGAATGCCATCTTCTTAGTTTCTCCCTGTATTAGTCTGTTTTCAGGCTGCGGATAAAGACATACCCAAGACTGGATAATTTATAAGGAAAAAGGGCTATAATAGACTCACAGTTCCATGTGGCTGGGGAGATCTCACAATCACAGCGGAAGGTGAAAGGCATGTCTCACATGATGGCAGGCAAGAGAAGAATGACAGCAAGCGAAAGGGTTTTTCCCTTTATAAAACCATCAGATCTCATAAGACTTATTCACTGTCATGAGAACAGCATGGGGAAAGACCTGCCCCCATGACTCAACTATCTCCCACCTGGTCCCTCCCACAACACGTGGGAATTGTGGGAGCTACAATTCAAGACAAGATTGAAATGCTTACGCAGCCAAACCATAGCACTCCCCTTCTGAGAAGGCTTAACTACAGAAATGAGAGTTCTGCCTCTGTCCAAGGTTGGTAATTTGATGCCTCCTTGTATTGTTGGGAGTAGGAAACTGAAAGTTAGAAAATGAATTAGCTGAGGCAGTGAGTAGTGGACCAGTGACACAGAAATTAAGAATATGACTTGGCGACTGGGAAGGCAAATAAATCAGTAAACCTTGGTTCTGAATGTATTAATTTTGCTAGAAAAATAGCTCTGCACTGGGACCAGATTCCTAAAAATCCTAAGTTTTATGTAGGACCAAGATTTTAAATAGATAGAATATTGGCAGAGTTTTCAGTGTAAATCTCAAATATTCCATAATTAATAGCGGCTTTTTAACCATAGATTTTTCAGATGGTTACACTAGTGGGTCTCACCCAGGGATAGTTCACCACCCCTCTGTCCCTCCCTTCCCTCTCCCAACTCCCTAGGGAACATTTGGCAATGTCTGGAGCCATTTTTGGTTGTCACACCAGGAGTTTCTTCTGACATGTAACAAGTAGAAGCTAGGGACCCTAGTAGACAGCTCCTCTCACCAAGAAAATATTATCTAGTCCAAAATGTCAATAGTGCCAAGGCTGAGAACACTGGTTTACATTGTGTTTCTTCTAAAAATTCTAGACTCACACTTTTAAAACACATTTATCTCTTAGTTCAGCTCTTCATGGCTTAGTTTTGCTTGTTTCATTACCAAAAAAAAAAAAAAAACTAGACAGTTGCATAAATTCACTGCTTTCTTGATGAATCCATTCAGTCAATGCAGGTTCAAGATTTTCATTTTTACTTTTTTGCGTTATGCAGTTTATTTCAAAATTTTGATGTGTTCTTGATAATTACTATCTCTATTAACTTTCAACAACTGGTAATTGTAAGTCATAAATGGTGACGACTATCCCAAATATTTTTCAGTAAAATGCCTCAGATTTCTGCAGTAATTCTACATTTTATACTACTGATAATGTAAGATGCTTTCTATTCACTGTGGTACATATACACCACGGAATACTATGCAGCCATAAAGAGGAATGAGATCACGTCCTTTGCAGAGACATGGATGAAGCTGGAAGCCATTATCCTCAGCAAATTAACACAGAAACAGGAAACCAAACACCGCATGTTCTCACATATAAATGGGAGCTAAACAATGAGAACACATGGACACAGGGAGGAGAACAACACTTACTAGGGTCTGCTGGGGGAGGGCAGAGTTGGGGAGAACATTAGGGAAAAGAGCTAATGCGTGCTGGGCTTAATACCTAGGTAATGCGTTGATAGCTGCAGCAAACCACCATGGCACATGTTTACCTGTGTAACAAACCTGTACATCCTGCACATGTACCCAGAACTTAAAAAAAAAATTATTATTTTAAAAATGCTTTCTATTCATCTCATTTTATTAAACACAAGGATTTTTCTTTATTTTTTATTTTTCATAGTTCATTTAAACATAAATACAAAAACATCAAAAATATATACATGCACAGTATTTGAAATCTGTGTATATTTACACATGCATACGTATGTTTGTATGTTTATATATATTGAAACTACAGATGCACATGTCACCAGTAAGAGCTCTGTGACACTTTTGAGTCCTTACCTCTTCAGATCAGATTTGCCAAATGAGTTTCGGCAACAAATTAAAAACAACAGCAAGTGAATTCGTGAGTTTTCTGGATTTAGAAAGTCCAAAAAAAAAAGTTTGTGGACCTGTGTTGGGGTCATGGACTCTTCAACTGCTTCCCATTACATTTAGTATAAATCGAAATCCTAACATGACAATGATTTTAATTGTTCCCTTCTTGTGATTTCTCCAGTTTAATCTTTTCCCCTCCTTTCCTTCATGCTGTGCTTTAGTGAACTTTTTTCTGGTTTCTTGAAGAAGTTCATCAATTCTTTCAAGCTTTTGTACATGATATTATGCTTACCTGAAATGTGCCTCCCTTTTTGTCCAGAGACACACACGGGCTCCACTCTGCCCCCTGGCTCACACCCACTAAACCTGTAAGGTAACATTTGAGCTGTCACTCTCAGAGTCCTTCTCTGGCACCCTAATGTAATTTAGATCATCCTATTCTTTCTTCTAGAACTCCACACTTCTCTTAACATTTTTCGTTCCTGTATAAGGTGTTGCGTGTTTGGTTTTTTGCCATCAATTTCACTTCTCTTTAAGCTCCTCCAGCGGAGGGATGAGGTCTATTTTTCCCGTTTGGATTCCCAGGAGACAGCACAGATGAGACACAAGGTAAGCACTAAGGAAGCATTTACAGAATGGAGGCAGTGGGTCTTGTTTAAGGAATGAGTAGAGTGTGGCATGATAGGAGGGAGCAGAAGTGTCTTTTGGATGGAGGCTCCCAGGAGGAGGAAGCGCAGGAGACAGTGATGAGGAAGGTGATCCTGATCCAGAGCCTTGCAAAGACGCGTCCAGCTCAGGTCGGAAATGGGTAGCGGATCCCAAATGGTATTCCACGCCCCTCGCAGCCTCCCTCCGCCTCAGGCAGATGGAAGACGAACCCCTAGGTGGTCGGGGGTGGCTGGTGGGGGCCAGTCAAGGTGTTCCGCCCCGCGCCCTGCTGATTGTGGGCATAGCCATCACTCTTTTCCTAGGATGCTGCCCGAGAAACCGGTTCTTCATGTCCCCGCGGCACATTTCTTGGAGCAGATTAAACATGAGTGCTATTTCTGCAATGGGACAGAGCGGATGCGGTTTGTGCAGAGACTCGTCCACACCGGAAGGAGTATGCGCGCTTCCATAGGGACGTCGGAAAGTTCCGGGAGGTGGCGGAGCTGGAGCGGAGAAGAGTCCAGGAATACAAACAGCCAGAAGAACCTCTTGGGCTGCTTGCGGGGTCTGTTGGACACCTACTGCAGACACAACTACGGGGTTTTTGAGAGCTTCTCCATGCAGAGGCGAGGTGAGCAAGGCGGGTGGGGGAGGGGAGTAGGGTCCCTGAGAACAGGGAGTGTGTGTGTATGCACACGTAAGCACCCTGTGGGAGAGTGTAGGATTGTGAGCCAGAAGGAATTAGGAGGGCTCAGGTAGGCGAGTGTAGAGTGGGGATTTGTCTGTGTGTCTGTTGTGGGAGGGAACACAGGAGGGAGCTTCAGCTTGTCCTTCCAGCCTTCTGGGAAGAGATGAGATGAGAGGGGAGTGGGAATGGTGGTGCAGGGGGCTGGAGAAGGAGACCTTAATCGCCCTGGGTCATTAGAGATGCAGGAAAGGGAAACTTACCTAGTCTGCTGTTGGCATGAAAGTTTAGGGGAGAAGAGATGAGAAATGATAATGTGAGGAGGCTAGTCACAAACTGTCCTTGGTCACACCCTTTATAATCCCGAAATCTCTGAAATAAAAGTGTATCATATTTGTTTGCATAAGCATTTCACTGAGAAAAAAGTATTAGACTAATTTCTTTCTTTTTTATTTTGAACTTTTATTTTAGTTTTAGGGATACATGTGCAGGTTTGCTCTATAGGTAAACTGCATGTCAGGTGTGTTTGATGTACAGATAATTTCATCACCAAGGTAATAAGCATAGTACCTCACAGGTATTTTTCCTGATCCTTTGCCTCCTCCTATCCTTCACCCTCAAGTAGGTCCCCACATCTACTGTTCTCTTCTTTGTATCCATGTGTACTCAATGTTTAGTTCCCACTTATAAGTGAGAACATGTGGTATTTGGTTTTTTGTCCCTATGTTAGTTTGCATAAGATAATGGCCTCCAGCTCCATCCATGTTCCTGCAAAGGACATGATCTTGAGAGGTGACGCTGGCTGGGCATCTGGGTTGGGCGGGGACTTGGAGAACTTTTCTGTCTAGCTAAAGGATTGTAAAAGCACCAATCAGCACTCTGTGAAAACACACCAATCAGCACTCTGCATCTAGCTAAAGGTTTGTAAATGCACCAATCAGCACTCTGTAGAAACGCCCCAATCAGTGCTCTGTGTCTAGCTAAAAGTTTATAGACGTGCCAATCAGCACTCTGTAAAATGGACCAATCAGCAGGATGTGGACAGGGCCAAATAAGGGAATAAAAGCTGGCCACCCCAGCCAGCAGCTGCAACCCACTCAGGTCCCCTTCCACACTGTGGAAGCTTTGTCCTTTCACTCTGCAATAAATCTTGCTGCTGCTCACTCTTTGGGTCCGCACTACCTTTATGAGCTGTAACACTCACTGCGAAGGTCTGCAGCTTCACTCCTGAAGCCAGCAAGACAACAAATCCACCAGGAGGAACGAACAACTCAGGATGCACCACCTTTAAGAGCTGTAACACTCACTGTGAAGGTCTGCAGCTTCACTCCTGATGTCAGCAAGACCACAAACCCACTGGGAGGAACGAACAACTCCGGATGCACCACCTTTAAGAGCTGTAACACTCACAGCAAAGGTCTGCGGCTTCACTCCTGAAATCAGCAAGACCACGAACCCACCAGAAGGAAGAAACTTGGGACACATTTGAATATCTGAAGGAACAAACTCCGGACACACCATCTTTAAGAACTGTAACACTCACCACAAGGGTTCATGGCTTCATTCTTGAATTCAGCGAGACCAAGAACCCACTGGAAGGAACCAATTCTGGACACAATCTCATTCTTTTTATGGCTGCATAGTATTCCATGGTGTATATGTACCACGTTTCCTTTAACCAGTCCACTGTTGATGGGCATCTAGGTCGATTCAATGTCTTTGCTATTGTGAACAGTGCTGCAATGAACATATGTGTGCATGTGTCTTTATGGTAGAATGGTTTATATTCCTTTAGGTATATACACAGTAATGGGATTGCTGAATCAAATGGTAATTTTCTTTTTAGTTCTTTGCACCACACTGCTTTCCACAATGGCTGAACTAATTTACATTTCTATTAGCAGTGTATAAGCATTCTCTTTCCCTGCAACCTCACCAGCATCTGTTATTTTTTGACTTTTTAATAGTAGCCATTCACACTGGTATGAGATGGTATCTTATTGTGATTTTGACTTGCATATCTCTAATAATTAGTGCTGTTGAAAATTTTTTCCTATATTTGTTGGCTGCATGTATGTCTTCTTTTGAAAAGTGTCTGTTCATGTCTGTTCATGCCCATATTTTAATGAGGTTTGGTTTTTTTCTTGTAAATTTGTTTAAGTTCCTTATAGATTCTGGATATTAGACCTTCGTCAGATGCATAGTTTGCAAATATTTTCTGTCGCAGGTGAGCAATAACTATCTGGGCCAGTGGCGCCAGGGTAAAAGAATTTACCAAGGCAGTTGTAGGTAGAAAAAAGCAGATTTATTAGAGAAAGTAGGAAAATACGTTGTGAGGAAGCAACAGGCAGGCCAGCAGAAGAGAAGCTGACTTCACGGAAACAAAGGCTTGCAGGAGATTTTATAGGATGATTCTTAGGCTGCAGAGTGCTATGTGCAGTAGCAATAATGCCAGGGTTGCAGTGAGCTAGCTTACGGATGTCTGATGATAGTTGGGCACAGGAAGACTGTGAGTTATTTGCACAGGAGGGCTGTGTGTCCTGGACCATGAAGACAGACAGACTTATAGCTTATTTGCTTTACCTCTTTGCTTTCTTCTGGTTCCACCAGCCTGACTCCTTTTCCTGAATTAGGACTTGACATTTTCTCCATTCTCTAGGTTTTCTATTTACTCTGTCGATAGTTTCTTTTACTGCACAGAAGCTCTTAAGTTAAATTAGGTCCCATTTGTCAATTTTTGTTTTTGTTGTGATTGCTTTTGGTGTCTTTGCCATGAAATCTTTGCCAAGTCCTATGTTCAGAATGGTATATTCTAGGTTACTTTCCAGGGTTTTTATGATTTTAGGTTTTACATTTAAGTCATTAATTCATTTTAAGTTGATTTTTGTATATGGTGTAAGGTAGGAGTCCGGCTTCAGTCTTCTGCATATGGCTAGCCAGTTAGTATAGCACCGTTTATTGAATGAGGAGTCCTTTCCTCATTGCTTGTTTTTGTCATCTTTGTCAAAGATCAGATGGTTGGAGTTGTACAGCATTATTTCTGGACTCTCTATTCTGTTCCATTTGTCTGTGTGTCTGCTTTTGTACCAGTACCATGCTGTTTTGGTTACTGTGGCCTCATAGTATAGTTTGAAGTTGAGTAACATAGTACCTCTTACTTTATTCTTTTGCTTAGGATTGCCTTAGCTATTTAGGCTCTGTTTTGCTTCCATATGAATTTTAAAGTAGTTTGTTCTAGTTCTGTGAAGACTGTCAATGGTAGTTTAATGGGAATAGCATTGAATCTATAAATTACTTTGGGCAGTATGGCCATTTTAATGATATTGAGTCTTCCTATCCATGAGCATGATAATTTTTTCCATTTGTTTGTGTCATCTCTGATTTCTCTGAGCAGTGTTTTGTAGTTCTTCTTGTAGAGATCTTTCACCTCCATAGTTAGCTGTATTCTTAGGTAATATGTGTGTGTGTGGAAATTGTGAGTGGGATTATATTCTTGATATGGGTCTCGGCTTGAGTGTTCTTTGTGTATGGGAATGCTGCTGATTTTTATATGTTGATTTTTTTTTTATCCTGAAACTTTGCTGAAGTTATTTATCAGCTAAAGGAACTTTTGGGCCAAGATTTGGAGATTTAGGGTTTTCTAGACACAGGATCATATCATCTGCAAACAGGGATAGTTTGACTTCCACTCTTCCTCTTTGAATGCCCTTTATTTCTTTCTCTGGCCTGATGCTTTGGTCAGGACTTCCAATACTATCTTGAATAAGAATGGTGAGGGAGGGCCGGGCACAGTGGTTTACACCTGTAATCCCAGCACTTTAGGAGGCTGAGGTGGGTGGATCACGAGGTGAGGATATCAACACCATCCTGGCTAACATGATGAAACCTGGTCTCTACTAAAAAAAAAAAAAAAAAATGGCCAGGTGTGGTGGCATGTGCCTGTAGTCCCAGCTACTTGGGAGGTTGAGGCAGGAGAATTGCTTCAAACTGGGAAGCGGAGGTTGCAGTGAGCTGAGATCACGCCACTGCACTACTCCAGCCTGGTGACAGAGCAAGACTCTGTCTCCAAAAAAAAAAAAAAAAAAAAACAGTGGTGAAAGAGGGCATCCTTGTCTCCTGCTAATTTTCAAGAGCGATGCTTCCAGCTTTTGCCCATTCACTATGTTGTTGGCTGTGGGTTTGTCATTGATGGCTCTTATTATTTTGAAGTATGTTCCTCCAATGCCTAGTTTACAGAGCTTTTTTTTTTTTTTTAAGATGGAGTCTTTCTCTGTTGTCAGGCTGGAGTGCAGTGGCACGATCTTGGCTCACTGCAACCTCCGCCTTCTGGGTTCAAGCAATTCTCCTGCTTCAGCCTCCTGAGTAGCTGCGACTACAGGCACATGCCACCATGCCCAACTAAGTTTTCATTTTTAGTAGAGACAGGGTTTCACCATGTTGGCCAGGATGGTCTCAATCTCCTGACCTTGTGATCCGCCCACCTCAGCCTCCCAAAGTGCTGGGATTACAGGTGTGAACTGAGCATTTTTAACATGAAGTGCTGTTGAATTTTATCAAAAGCCTTTTCCACATCTATTGAGATGATCAGGTGGTTGTTGTCTTTCATTCTGCTCTATGTGATGGATCACATTTGTTGATTTGTATATGTTGAACTAACCTTGCATCCCAGGGGTAAAATCTACTTGATCATGGTACATTAACTTTTGATGTGCTGCTTGATTTGGTTTGTTAGTATTTTGTTAAGGATATTTGCATCTATGTTCATCAAGAATATTGGCCTGAAGTTTTCTTTTTTTGTTGTTGATATACTGGTTTTGGTGTCAGGGTGATGCTGGCCTCAGAATGAATTGGGGAGTCATCCCTTCTCCTCAATTTTTTTGGAATAATTTTAATAGGAATAGGACCAGGTCTTCTTTATCCATCTGGTAGAATTCAGCTGTGAATCCATCTGGTCCCAGGCTTTTTTTAGTTGGTAGGCTTTTTATTACTGACTCAATTTCAGAACTCATTATTGGTCTGTTTAGGAATTCAGTTTCTTCCTGGTTCAGTCTTGAGAGGGTGTATGTGTCCAGGAATTTATCCATTTCTTAAATATATATTCATCTATATTAGTCTATTATCATGCTGCTAATAAAGGCATACTTGAGATTGGGCAATTTATAAAAGAAGGAGGTTTAATGGACTCACAGTTCCACATGGCTGGGGAGGCCTCACAATCATGGTGGAAGATGAAAAGCACATCTCACATGGCAGCAGACAAGAGAAGAGGACTTGTGCAGGGAAACTCCCCTTCATAAAACCATCAAATCTCATGAGACTTATTCACTATCACAAGAATAGTATGGGAAAGACCTACCCCATGATTAAATTACCTCCCACCAGGTCCCTCCCACAACACGTGGGTATTATGGGACCTACAATTCAAGGTGAGATTTGGGTGGGGACAGAGCCAAAAGGTATCATTCCACCACTGGCCCCTCCCAAATCTCATGTCCTCACATTTCAAAACCAATCATGCCTTCTCAAGAGTACCCCAAAGTCTTATTTCTACATTAACTCAAAATCCACAGTCCAAATTCTCATCTGAGACAAGGCAAGTCCCTTCTGCCTATGAGCCTGTAAAACCAAAAGCAAGCTAGTTACTTCTTAGACACAATGAGGGTACAGGCATTGGATAAATGTACCCATTCCAAATGGAAGAAACTGGCCAAAATGAAGGGACTTAAAGGCTCCATGCAACCCTGAAATCCAGCAGAGCACTTAAATCTTAAACTCCAAAAAATGACCTCCTTTGACTCCATATCTCACATCCAGGTCACACTGATGCAAGAGGTGGGTTCCCCTGTTCTTGAGCAGCTCCGCTTCTGTGGCTTTGCAGGATATAGCCTCCCTCCAAGCTGCTTTCATGTGCTGGCATTGAGTGTCTGCAGCTTTTCCAGTGCATGATGCAAGCTGTCAGTGGATCCATCATTCTGGAGTCTGGAGGATGGTGTTCCTCTTTTCAAAACTCCACTAGGCACTGCCCCATTGGGAACTCTGTGTGAGGGTGCCCACTCCACATTTCCCTTCTGCACTGCCCTAGCAGAGGTTCCCCATGAGTGCCCTGCCCAGACAGCAAACTTCTGCCTGGACATCCAGGCATTGCCATACATCCTCTGAAATCTAGGTGGAGGTTCCCAAACCTCAACTCTTGACTTCTGTGTACCCGTAGGCTCAACACCACATGGAAGCTGCCAAGGCTTGGGGCTTGCATCCTCTGAAGCTGTGGCCTGAGCTCTATGTTGGCCCCTTTTAGTCACAGCTGGAGCGGCTGAGACACAGGGCACCAAGTCCAAAGACCGCATGCAGCACGGGGACACTGGGCCCAGCCCAAGAAACCATTTTTTCCTCCTAGGCCTCCAGGCCCGTGATGGGCAGGGCTGCCGTCAAGACCTCTGACATGGCCAGGCATGGTGGCTCATGCCTGTAATCCCAGCACTTTGGGAGGCCGAGGTGGGTGGATCATGAGATCAGGAGATCGAGACCATCCTGGCTAACATGGTGAAACCCCGTCTCTACTAAAAATACAAAAAATTAGCCAGGCGTGGTGGCGGGTGCCTGTAGTCCCAGGTACTCGGAAGGCTGAGGCAGGAGAATGGCATGAACGTGGGAGGCAGAGCTTGCAGTGAGCCGAGATCATGCCACTGCACTCCAGCCTGGGCGACAGGGCAAGACTCTGAAAAAAAAAAAAAAAAAACCTCTGACATGCCTTGGAGACATTTTCCCCATTGTCTTAATGATTAACATTCAGCTCCTCATTACCCATGCAAATTTCTGCAGCCGGCTTGAATTTATCTTCAGAAAATTGGATTTTCTTTTCTATTGCATTGTCAGGCTGCAAATTTTCCAAACATTTATGCTCTGCTTCCCTTATAAAACTGAATGGCTTTAACAGCATGCAAGTAACCTCTTGAATGCTTTGCTGCTTAGAAATATCTTCTGCCAGATACCCTAAATCATCTCTCTCAAGTTTAAAGTTCCACAAATCTCTAGGAGAGGGGCAAAATGCCACCAGTCTCTTTGCTAAAACATAATGAGTCACCTTTGCTCCAGTTCCCAACAGTTCCTCATTTCCATCTGAGACTACCTTAGCCTGGACTTTATTGTCCACATCACCATCAGCATTTTGGGCAAAGGCATTCAACAAGTCTCTAGGAAGTTCCAAAATTTCCAACATTTTCCTATCTTCTTCTGAGCCCTCCAAACTGTTCCAACCTCTGCCTGTTACCCAGTTCCAAAGTCACTTCCACATTTTCAGGTATCTTTTCAGCAGTGCTCCACTCTCCTCTATTAGTCTGTTACCATGCTGCTGACAAAGATATACCTGAGACTGGGAAATTTACAAAAGAAAGAAATTTAATGGACTTACAGTTCCACATGGCTAGGGATGCCTCACAATCATGATGGAAGGTGAAAATCACATCTCACGTGGTGGCAGACAAGACAAGAGAACTTGTGCAGGGAAACTCCTCTTTATAAAACTATCAGATCTCATGAGACTTATTCACTATCATGAGAATAGCATGGAAAAGACCCGTCCCCATGATTCAATTACCTCCCACCAGCTGCCTCCCGTGGCATGTGAGAATTGTGGGAGCTACAATTCAAGGTGAGATTTGGATGGGAACACAGCCAAACCCGATCAGCACCCAACACAGGAACACCCAGATTCATAAAGCAAGTTCTTAGGGACCTTCAAAGAGACTTAGACTCCAACGCAATAATACTTGGAGATGTTAACAACTCACTGATAATATTAGACAGATCATCGAGACAAAAAATTAACAAAGATATTCAGGACTTGAACTCAGCACTGAATCAAATGGACCTGATAGACATCTATAGAATTATCCACACCAAAACAACAGTATACACATTCTTCTCATCACCACATGGCATGTACTCTAAAATTGATCACATAATTGGAAGTCAAATACTCCTCAGCAGATGCACAAGAACTGAAATCATAAAAGACAATCTTTCAGACAACAGTGCAATCAAATTAGAAATTAAGACTAAGAAATTCATTCAAAACTCTACAATTACATGGAATTTGAACCACCTGCTCCTGAATGACTTTTGTGCAAATAATGAAATTAAGGAAGAAATTGAGAAGTTCTTTAAAACTGATGAGAACAACGATACAACATACCAGAATCTCTGGGACACAGCTAAGGCAGTGTTAAGCGGGAAATTTATGCATCAAATGCCCACATGAAAAAGTTAGAAAGACCTCAATTTAACAACCTAACATCACAACTAAAAGAACTGGTCAACCAGGTACAAACCAATATCAAGGCTAGCAGAAGACAAGAAATAACCAAAATCAGAGCTGAACTAAAGGAGATTGAGACAGAAAAAAAAAAAAACACTCAAAAGATCAATGAATCCAGGAATTGGTTTCTTAAAAAAATTAATAAAAAAATAGACCTTTAGTTAGACTAATAAAGAAGAAAAGAGAGAAGATTCAAATAATCACACTCAGAAATGACAATGGGGATATTACCACTGACCCAACAGAAACACAAATAACCATCAGAGAATATTTAAAAACACCTCTATGCACATAAACTAGGAAACCTAGAAGAAATTGATAAATTTCTGGACACATACACCCTCCCAGGACAGAACCAAGAAGAAATTGAATCCCTGAATAGACAGATAATGATCTCAGAAATTAAATCAGTAATAAGTAGACTACCAAACAAAAAAAACCCTAGGACTAGAATAATTCACAGCTGAATTCTGCCTGATGTACAAAGAAGAGCTGGTACCATTCCTGTTATAATTATTCCAAAAAATTGAGGAAGAGGGATACCTCTCTAACTCATTCTATGAGGCCAGTATCATCATGATCAGCACCAAAACCTGGCAGACACCCACACAAAAGAAAACTTCAGGCAAATATTATTGATGAAGATTGATGCAAAAATCCTCCACAAAATACTGGCAAACCGAATCCAGCAGTACATTAAAAAGCTAATCTACAATGATCAAGTATGCTTTATCTTGGTGATGCAAGGTTAGTTCAACATATGCAAATCAATAAATTTGATTCATTACATAAACAGTACTAAAGACAGAAGCCACATGATTAGCTCAATATATGCAGGAATGGTTTTTGATAAAATTCAATATCCCTTCATGTTAAAAACTCTTAATAAACTGAGTATTAAGTGAACATAACTTAAAATAATAAGAGGCTTCTGTGACAACCCCACAGCTAATACCATACTAAATGGGAAAAAGCTGGAAGCATTCCCCTTGAAAACCAGCGCAAGACAAGGATACCCTCTCTCACTACTCCTATCCAACATAGTATTGGAAGTCTTGACCAGGGCAATCACGCAACAAAAAGAATTAAAGGGCATCCAAACAGGAAGAGAGGAAGTTGAACTATGCCTATTTGCAGATGGCATGATCCTATATCAAGAAAAACCCATAGTCTCAGCCCAAAAGCTCTTTAAGCTAATGAACAACTTCAGCAAAGTCTTGGCATTCAAAATTAATGTGGAAAAATTACTAACATTCCTATACACAACAGTCAAGCTGAGAGCCAAATCAGGAACATAATCCCATTCACGATTGCCACACACACACAAAATACCTACGAATACAGCTAACCAGGGAGGAGAAAGATCTCTACAAGGAAAACTGCAAACCACTGCTCAAAGAAATCAGAGATGACACAAATAAATGGAAAAAAATATCATGTTCATGGAAAAGGAAGAATCAGTATTGTCTGGGCGCGGTGGCTCACATCTGTAATCCTAGCACTCCCAGAGGTCAAGGCAGGCGAATCACCTGAGGTCAGGAATTTGAGACCAGCCTGGCCAACATGGTGAAACCCCATCTCTAGTAAAAATACAAAAAAATTATCCAGGCGTGATGGTGTGTGCCTGTAATCCCAGCTACTAGGGAGGCTGAGGCAGGAGAATCACCTGAACCCAGGAGGCGGAGGTTTCAGTGAGCCGAAATCGCGCCATTGCACTCCAGCCTGGGCGACAGAGCCAGATTCTATCTCAAAAAAAAGAAAGGAAAAATCAATATGATGAAAGTGGCCATACTCCCACAAAGCAATTAGGGAATAGTTTATCAGTTTCTTTCTTTCTCTTTCTTTCTTTCCTTCCTTCCTTCCTTCTTTCTTTCTTCCTTCCTTCCTTCTTTCCTTCCTTCCTTTTTCTTTTTCTTTTCTTCTTTCCTTCCTTCCTTTCTTTCCTTTCTTTCTCTCTCTTTCTTTCTTTCCTTCTTCTTTCTTTTTTCTTTCTCTTTCTCTCTTCCTTTTCTTTCTCCTTCCTTCTTTCCTTCCTTCCTTTCACCCTTCCTCCCTTCCTCCCTTCCCTCCCTCCTTCCCTTCTTCCTTCCTTCTTTTTCTTTCTCTTTCTCCTCCCTCCCTTCCTTCCTTTCTTCTATCTTTCCTTTCTTCCTTCCTCCCTCCCTCCCTTCTTTTTAACTTCCTTTCTTCTTTCCTTTCTTTTTTCCTCCCTCCCTCCCTTCCTTCCTCCCTCCTTCCCTTCTTTTTTCTCCTTCCTTCCTTCCTTCCTTCCTTCCTTCCTTCCTTCCTTCCTCCTTCCCTCCCTTCCTTCCTTTTGGAGACAGGATCTTGCTCTGTCAGATAGGCTGAAGTGCAGTGGCTCACTGCAGCCTCGAATTCCTGGGCTCAAGCAACCCTCCCACCTCAGCCTCCCAGGTAGCTGTGACTATAGGGGCATGCCACCTCATCCACCTGACAAAAAACAAAAACAAAAACAAAACATTTGGCCAGGCACGGTGGCTCATGCCTGTAATCTCAGCACTTTGGAAGGCCAAGGCAAGCGGATCAAGAGGTCATGAGATCAAGACCATCCTGGCCAACATGGTGAAACCCTGTCTCTACAAAAAATTCAAAAATTAGCTGGGCGTGGTGGTGTGCACCTGCAGTCTCAGCTACTCGGGTGGCTGAGGCAGAAGAATTGCTTGAACCTGGGAGGCGGAGGTTGCAGTGAGCCAAGATCGCATCACTGCACTCCAGTCTGGCAACAGAGAGACTCTGTCTCAAAAAAAAAAAAATGTAGACGCTGGGGTCTTGCTATGCTGTCAGGCTGGCCTCAAATTCCTGGCCTCAATTTATCCTTCCTCCTTGGCCTCCCAAAGTGCTGGGATTACAGGTATAAGCCATCATACTTGGCTAAGTTTGGCAGTTTCTTGAAAAACTAAACATATATTTCCATATGCCCATGAATTATATCCCAGACATTTATACCAGAGAAATGAAAACTCATGAACTCATGCTCATAGAAAAACCTTAAACACTTGTTCAAAACAGCTTTATTTATAGTGATCCCAAACTAGAAACAGCCAAAATGTCCTTCAATAGGCAAATAGTTAAGCAAACTGTGCTGCATTTAGACCATGGAATACTACCTAGCAATAAAGAAAAAAAAAGATTGTCGATATATGCAGCAGCTTGGATGGATCTCATGGGTATTATGCTAAGTGAAAAACACCAGTCACATACTGCGTGATTCTATTTAACTAGTATTTTCAAAATGACACTATTCTAGAGATTAATAGCAAAGAAATTAGTGGTTTTAAGTTGTTAAGGTGATTGTGTGGGGGGAATTTGGCTATAAAGGGAAGCATGACGAAGATCTCTGTGATATGGAATAGCTCTGTGCTTGATTGTGGTGGTGGTTACGTGAATCTACAAATGTGATAAGACATATGCATAAAACTATACACACACATTGTATCAAGGTATTTTCTTGGTTTTGCTACTGTGCTATAATTACTTAAAATATAAACATTTGGAGAAACTGGGTGAAGGCGTATGCAGAATGTCTCTATACTGTCTTTGCAATTTCCCATGAATCTATAATTATTTTAAAATAAAAAAATATTAAAATGGCTTTCTTGCTGAAATCCCAAACCCCAGAATACCAAATGCTGGCAAGGATATAGAACAACAGGGACTCTCATTCATTGCTGGTAGGAATGCAAAATGATACAGCCATTTTGGAAGATATTCTAGTTGTTTCTTACAAAGCTAAACATACTCTTACCATATGATCCAGCAATTGCCCTTCTATGTATTTATCCAAAGTGGAAAACTTGTGTCTGCACAAACATCTGTTCATGGATGTTTATAGCAGCTTTATTCATAATTGCCAAAAATTAGAAGCAACCAAGATGTCCTTCAATAGATTAATGGGTAAATAAACCATAGTACATTTATACAATGGAGTATTATTTAACATTAAAGAAAAATAAGCTATCAAGCTATGACAATATATGCAGGAAACCTGTATGCATATGGCTAAGCAAAAGAATCTCATCTGAAAAAGCTCTATACTGTATGATTACAAGTATGTGACATTCTGAAAAAGGCAAAACACTAGTAAATAGCTCAGAGAATGCCAATGGCTCAGAGGGAGGAAGGAAGGATGAGTAGATGGAGCCTGGGTCATTTTTAGATCAGTGAAGCTATTTTGTTTAATCCTGTAATGGTGGATATATGATATTATGTATTTGTCAGAACCCATATAACTGTGTAATGCAGAGTGAACCCTCGTATAACTATGAATTTTAGTTAATAATAATTATTAGTATTGGTTCATCAATTGTAACAAGTGTACCACATTAATACAGGATGTTAAGCATTGTAGAAACTGGGGGTGGGGGAGCTCTGTATACAATTTCTGCAATTTTTCTGTTAGCTTAAAACAGCTCTAAAAATAAAAGTCTATTAAAATGGTTTTCCTTTTTTTTTTTTTTTTTTTTTTTCTTTTTTTTGAGATGGAGTCTCGCTCTGTCGCCCAGGCTGGAGTGCAGTGGTGCGATCTCGGCTTACTGCAAGCTCTGCCTCTTGGGTTCACGCCATTTTCCTGCCTCAACTTCTCGAGTAGCTGGGACTACAGGCACCCGCCACCACACCCGGCTAATTTTTTTTTTTTTTTTTTAGTAGAGACGGGGTTTCACCATGTTAGCCAGGATGGTCTCGATCTCCTGACCTCGTGATCCGCCCGCCTCGGCCTCCCAAAGTGCTGGGATTACAGGCGTGAGCCACCGCGCCTGGCCAAAAATGGTTTTCTTACATGGTAGTATATGGGTTTACTTTTTGCTTTCTTAATCCATGCTTGTCTAAGTTTTAGTGTATTCTCTGTGTTAAGCTATTTATTTTATAATAAAGTTTGTAGTCATGTAAGAAAGACACTCGTACCTATTCTACCATCAGTAGTCTCAAGATTCTGCTTTGATTCTCTGAACCAACAGTAGAGAAACTTTTTTTTTTTTTTTTTTTTTGAGACGGAGTCTCAGTCTGTTGCCAGGCAGGAGCGCAGTGGTGCGATCTCGGCTCACTGCAACCTCTGCCTCCCGGATTCAAGAGATTCTCCTGCCTCAACCTCCAGAGTAGCTGGGATTACAGGCGCCTATCACCACGCCTGGCTAATTTTTGTATTTTTAGTAGAGATGGGGTTTCACCATGTTGGCCAGGATGGTCTTGATTTCCTGACCTTGTGATCCTCCCACCTCGGCCTCCCAAAGTGCTGGATTACAGGCGTGAGCCACCGTGCCCAGCCGAGAAACTTCTTATTTATTAGTAAGGCTTAGAATGTCATGATGCTTTGGTTTATCCTTGTTTTGTTTAGCTTCTCTTAGATTTTTATCATCAGTCTATAGAAATTTTGAGAAAAACAACAGAATGTATAATTTTTTGCAATATTTTATTATCACTAAGCATGTATCTAATTACTTTGCTTGCGTTTTCCTTTTAATTCTGATATTAATTCAATGTAGTAAAAATTAACACCAGTATTTTCATGAGTAATGTGAGGCTAAGTTAAGTAAGATACCAGTGAAAACATAGCTAGTAAATGATACAGCCAAGATGAAACCCAAGCCTAACTCATTTCAACAGCATTTATTTGCAGTCTACCACACTATCATGAATAGTTTATCTTAGTGGTTTATGGCAGGTTCTAGAAACTATTTTAGAGATAAATATCAAGTCATAGTTTTATAGACAAATGAGCAACAGTTCATTGTGTTTCAAATATTCCTTCCTCTCATCTTAATGTCATATCTTTCTCCCCAACCCCAAATTTCACTCAGCTTTTCCACTCAAAGACACATCTTCAAATATAAGGTGGTTTCAAGAATCAGTCAGACTACTCTCTCGGTAATAAAATAGGCATCTGAGACTATGTCTAACAGAATGGGTAAGGCCAGTCTTCAGTGTCCAACCTCTTTGCTCATTAAATCTGGAATGAACGATGTTGATATGTAAATCCTGCAATGTTTATGGATTCTTCTGTCTTCCTTCTCCCCACTCTAACCCCATCTGCTCCCCTCTATCCCATGCATTCTGAGATCCATACCTTGGGGTTTCAGATTCACTCTACTGAAGACAGAGTTATATCATTGCTCAGTAGAGATCTCCCAACAAACCAACCCCACTTTAGGTTTTCCTGATGAGGACTAGACCACAACAAGAGGGTTGCCTGCAGATGCACAAAATGAGACCAAGCCCAAATGAACCGGGATATGTCTGATGAATTCTAGAATTTATAAGATAAATTCAACATTCAGATATTTTACCGGGAAAGGATCACATATATTCCCCAGGACCGACTCCCCACCCCCCACCGCCACCCAAAGAACTGGCTTAAACACCAAAAATTCCACCCAAGATCATCAAAATAGTTTATTGTGTTCAGAAAAATCACAGTTTGAGGAAACCTTAAACAATAAGTACACAAGAGATGCCCCATGGGGCATTCCATAGCAGAGACAGACTCCTGTATGTTTTATTCCAGAGGCATTGCATGGTGATAATAAAATGATAGGAAATAGAGGAAAATAGATACAGGAAAAGGCAATAGACAGGGAAGCCAGCTAGATGTTAGAGTACGGAGCAATCGAGGAGGCATAACCACACTTGGGGTGGCTATAGGGCTGGAAAACGCTGAAGATGACTGCTTTCACTGAGGTCAAGGATTGTAATATTGCCAGCTTTGTAAAGTCATTAAAGCAGAAGTTTCTTCAGTGATCTTCTCTCTAAGAAACATCATCACCTATAGCAAGACACACATAGTTACCAAGGAATTTAAGATCTGTTTTGAGCTCCTTGCTTCAGATTCCTTCCTCTTCTCTCTTAATCCTTTGACTTTGCAAAATTCTTTCAATGTTCATCTAACCTTTCCAACATGAACTAACTGTATACAGTTAGTTCCTACTCTCCAACTGAACATAATAAGCAACCATGCTTTACCTTTTTTTAGAGTTTCTCATACTACATTTGAGACTAAAGAAGCAAAAGCAGGCATTGGCCTCTAAGAGATTCCCATTTCATGCAATGAATTGACCCTAACCTGAAAGGAGCCAGGATCTGGAAATGCTTCTGAACTGATGACCTGCCCCAGGAAATACAAGCTAGGATGTGCCCAAATCTTGAGGCTTATTTTTCTAGATCCCTAGACTCAGTATTTTCTAGATCCCTAGACTCCATATTCTAATGTATTTTCTAGATCCCTAGACTCAGTATTCTAATGTGAAACAATGGTTTTAGGTACTGGAGATGATTTCTAAGACTGGAGCCGTGATCAAGGTGCCCGTCTATAGAAAGGGATGACAGACCCTGAAGCTTTGGGATACCAGATGATACCAATGTCTGATTCGTTCTAGCAAAGAGAAATCAAGAGCCACATCTGTTCCTACCTTGTCTCTTAAATGCATTACATTTCCTTTCCCCACCCTGTTTTCCTCCCTCAGATATCTCCATATATGTCTTCCTCTGACCACACCTAACTCACCTCCATGTGCCTTACAGAGGCCCCCTGCGTTCTGCTGCATTGCTTTTGCGCACTCCCTTGATGATGAAGATGGTCCCAATAATGATGCCCACCAGACCCACAGTCAGGCCCAGGGCACACACCACATTCTCTGTAGTCTCTGGGAGAGGGCTTGGAGCATCAAACTCTGGGGGGAAATAAGGCAGAGTACATGGTAATGAGTGTGGGAAGAAGTAACACTCAGAATCAAATGTAGGGTTCTTAATAAAGAGAAAAGTTATTCATAGATTAAAGAAGAGGAAGACAGAATGATGTATTGAGAGAATTACAGATTAAAAAAAGGAGGAAGCTGGATAGGAGGAGAAGACAGTTATATTAATTGTAGCAGATATTATGAAACAGTTAGAACACCGAGTTTCACACAAGCATCATAGGAGGAAACCTTGAAATAAAGGAGATTGAGTGTTGGTCCATACCCCAGTGCTTGAGAAGAGGCTCATCCAAGCCCCAGTGCTCCACCCTGCAGTCGTAAACGTCCTCAGTTGAGGGCAGGAAGGGGAGATAGTGGAACTTGCGGAAAAGGTGGTCTTCCCTGGGCAGGAAGACTGTCTCTGACACTCCTGTGGTGACAGGTTTTCCATTTCGAAGCCACGTGACATTGACCACTGGTGGGGTGAACTTGTCTATGAAACAGATGAGGACGTTGGGCTCTCTCAGTTCCACAGGGCTGTTCGTGAGCACAGTTACCTCTGGAGGTACTGGGGGACACATGACAGACATGACAGAAATCAGCCATCACTGCTTAGGCTCACCCCTCTCCCTCCCATGCTCAATTGTGGTACAAACGTATCTAAAAACCCTAAAGCTGAAAAAGTAGTTGAAATTGTGCCCTGAGAAATCTATGTCACATCCTCAGATAACAATCTCTGACAGCACCCCCTCCCCAAGAAATTGAGCCAATATTGAGGTATAAGATATCCAAGGACTTCCCTTCTGGCTCCCCCAGCATGAACTTAGGGCAATGACTTCGTAGGAGACCATGGATGACAGAGACAAGACTTGAGCACAACAAGATAGGATCAAACCCATAAAGTTCTCAGACCTCTGGCATGAGAATTTGGGGCTTGTTAATGGCAAGGTTAGACCCTTGGAGGGAAAATCAGTTACAATAATCTAACACAAAGAGCTGAAGCAACTACTTTCAAACTATGGATTCCCATGTCCAGGAGTGCAGCAGAGAGGGAGGTACCATTGGTGATCGGAGTATAGTTGGAGCGCTTTGTCATGATTTCCAGGTTGGCTTTGTCCACAGCTATGTTGGCCAATGCACCTTGAGCCTCAAAGCTGGCAAATCGTCCAAATTCTTCAAGCCGCCAGACCGTCTCCTTCTTTGCCATATCCACATGGAAAATCTCATCACCATCAAAGTCAAACATAAACTCGCCTGATTGGTCAGGATTCAGATAGAACTCGGCCTGGATGATCACATGTTCTTCTGAAAGGCAAGAAATGGAGAAAGAGAGTTGGGTGGGGGGAATCAAGAGAGGGAAATGAATAACCTACATACATGTAGGCAGGAAGTAGTGGAGAGAGATTGGGCCAAGAGGAATGAAAGAATGATGGCGAGTAGGGATGAGTGACAAGACAAGGTCTGGGTGAAGGGCATGCTGCTGAACAAAGCTGGGAGGGGAAAAACAAGAAGGACTGGTTATAAAGAGGGTGGATTGAAGGAGATGAGGGCTAAAGAACCCAGAGTCTTGTGAAGCTGTTGTTTGGCTCCATGTTACTAGCTGAGAAATTATTTTCTTTTTAGAAATCCAGCAGCAGCCCCTAAAGAGAAATGTTCTCTCACTTTCTTTACCCGGGCATTAAATACACTTAGGCCAGAATTCCAGAGGATCTCTTTCTCAGAACATTGTACTCTAAGAAGAAAGAAACGCTGTTTGAAAGGTTGGGTTTTAAACTCTGGGATCAAAAACATCTTGAATTCTTATTCAGCAACTTACCTAGTGATCCTGAGCAGATTATTCTACCTATTTATGTATAGTTTTCCTATTATGTAGCCCTGCTGTGGTTTTGATCCTGTCAGGGGTTTGTTTTTAAGATTAAATGAGATAAGGTGAGTAATTTCTTAATATATCAACAAGACTGTAACAAGCACTGTTTACATTTTAGAGTCAGAAGCTTCTCTTTATTTAAGGGCCAAATCTATGGAAAATATACCTGGGGACTGAAGTACTCCAAAAATTAAGACTGAGACCTTGTAGCGTCATAGTCCCCCTGCTTCCCAGCATCCAAACCCACACGGTGGTTACCTCTATGAGAAGGTTCTCGTCTGGATTGACCTTGGCAATTCCACCTTTTATCTTAATGCTCCTTAAATTGGGACTGTTATTATGGAAGATGTTCTGTTATGATTGACATTGAGAATAACCAACACCAAGGGAATAATGAACATGAAAAGAGAAAGCTACACTTGGAGAGTATGCTGCCTCTGTGGAGTGTATCGATGAGTGGGAGATTTTTTTTTTCCTTAGTCTTCAAAGATAAGGTGAGATATTTTGTTTTGTTTTGGTTTGGTTGTTTGAGACGGAGTCTTGCTCTATCGCCAGGCTGGAGTGCAGTGGCACCATCTCAGCTCACTGCAACCTCCGCCTCCCGGGTTCAAGCAATCCTCCTGCCTCAGCCTCCCGAGTAGCTGGGACTACAGGCGTGTGCCACCATACCCAGCTAATTTTTTGTATTTTTAGTAGAGACGGGGTTTCACCATGTTGCCCAGGACGGTCTTGATCTCTTGACCTCATGATCCGCCCGCCTCGGCCTCCCAAAGTGCTGGGATTACAGGCGTGAGCCACCGTGCCCAGCCAAGATGAGAGATTTTAATGTTTGACTGTGTATTGATAAACCTAGGAATTTATTTACCGTTTGCATCTATGCAAACACACACAAATATACTAGCTGCCTCTTCACAAACCAAGGGAAGATCCTCTGTCTTTCTAGGTAAGTATCCCTATGTATGGCTCTTTTGGGGCAATAGAAATCTACAATTGCCACTATGGGTATGGGAGCTGGGTTATTACTTTGCTTATTTCAAGTCTACCTGACACCTTCTGTGGGGGTCACGCTGGGTGAAGAATACTTTTCTACAGTACATCTTTACAACAGCACCAATGTTGCTCTGGAGATGAGAGAGAATAATATCAGATTCCCCATTTCCTTACTTATTTTTCTACTCTCTTGGAAATATTACTAAGTTAACATGATATAAGATCTGCTGTACCATGGAGATGGGAAGGCAGGGAATGGCTATCACTGTCCCATGAGGCAACTCATATCAGCATGCCTTCCCTCCCCTTTTCCTGGGGTAAATTGTTGCTTTTTGATGACTTTTCCTTCTAGTAATCTTCAACACAATATATGTGCTCAATATATACCGACAGGATTTACACTCCAAAAAATAACTACTGTATCATGTATTCAGATAAGAACAGGGCTAATAACTTTTTTTTTCATTTAATTCTAGCAAAACTATGTGTGGTTTTTAGTTTTTAATTTTACTAATTTTCCAGAAAGAATAATTAAAGCCCAGAAATATAACTTGTTAATGCTTGCCAGAAAATATTCTTCCTCCCCCACCCCCACCCCCACCCCCAGTTTGGCTTGTAGCAGGACCGTGCTATTCATCAATACACAACTCAGTTTTGACCCTCTAAACCAAATTTGACTTACTTCAGTTTGTGGTGAGGGAAGAACTCCACCAAACCACAATTTGTTATACTTTCTGTCGAGACCACATAATACCTGTCACACTATTCTTTCACTCCACACATTATCTTCCAAATGTCCATAGGTCTTTTCTCCAATGCTTCGTAGTCTATCGTCCCAGATTTCATTCCCTCAGCACCTACCTTTGATAGCCCATGATTCCTGAGCGCTCATCAGCACAGCTATGATGAAAAATCCTAGCACAGGGACTCCACTTATGGCCATTTTCTTCTTGGGCGCTCTGTTGGGAGTCAGTAGAGCTCGGGAGTGAGGCAGAACAGACAAGAATAAAAGAAAAGAGAATGTGGGGTGTAATAGAGTCTGACCATTAAAATGCAAATCAATTACTCTTTGGCCAATCAGAAAAATATTTTGAGATGACGCATCTGTTGCTAGGGGAAGGGTTCTTGCAAAGGGTCCAGGACACAAGATACTCCGTTCATTGGATAAAGAAGTAAAGTTCTTAAACAAACAGGACAACAACAACAACAAATCAAGTATTTAAGACTGTTAGTCAATCACGGACAGACTCTTTAACCCCAATCTGACTTCTAGACAGGGATATACCTGAAGCACATTAGTGAGAATAGAATCAATGGAAACACCTAAAGTGAGAGCTAAATACAGATCATATGTCTGTGCAATGACAGTTGGAGAGTTTGCGTAAGGGACAATAAATTACCCAAATAGAAGGTAAATTGTCAGGCCATGGAGATTGTCTGAATTTTGGCAGTACTGAGGACATAGCTTCACTAAAGAAGCTCTTTCATGCTTCTTGGAGTCCTAGACTTCAAGATGATCAACTCAGGCCAAGAGCTTGGGATGGCTGGCATTGTATCTCATTTAGAGAAAATGAGAGGAGAAACTCTGAGGTTCAACACTCTCAACACTGGAGAAGGATGAAAGGCTGTATCTTGAAACACAGGTAGTAGTTAGTGGAAATAGTGGGCTGTAAAGGAGCTACCTTCTTCTCATCTCTACCATCTTATATATGACAAGAGATTGGAGTTGACTAATGGACACACCTCATTTGAGGATTCAGGTCAATGAATATGAGAGAGTATAGTGGGCAAAGCCTATTCTTTTTTTTTTTTTTTTTTTTTAGACAGAGTCTTGCTCTGTCGCCCAAGCTGGAGTTGGTGGCGTGATCTCAGCTCATTGTAATCTCCGCCTCCCGGGTTCAAGCGATTCTCCTGCCTCAGCCTCCTGAGTAGCTGGGATTACAGGCGCCCACCACCATGCCCGGATAATTTTTGTATTTTTAGTAGAGACGGGGTTTCACCATGTTGGTCAGGCTGGTCTCAGACTCCTGACCTCGTGATTTGCCCGCCTTGGCCTCGCAAAGTGCTGGGATTACAGGCATGAGCCACCGCACCCAGCTGGCAAAGCCTATTCTATTGGGAACGTTAGAGATAATAACCCACAGAACGGCTTTAATATTCCTTCCCTCATGTCATAAGATTATGAAAGTTTTTCTTTTGTCATATGATTATTAAAGATCTGCTCTAAAGAATATATTTTGATGTTCAACATAGACAGTCCTGAAAATTAGGAGACTTCGACTCTCTTGTTTCTGAAGATACAGTGTTATGAAAAGGAGAATGTTAATTTCTTTCCACAGAAAGGACTGGAATACAAATACTTCCATGAAGAGTGACCTGGCAGTGAGGGAGCCCATCGGATGGTGAATCCATTGTTTTTTTTTGTTGTTGTTTTGTTTTCGAGACGGAAGTCTTGCTCTGTCGCCCAGGCTGGAGTGCAGTGGCACGATCTCGGCTCACTGAAAGCTCTGCCTCCTGGGTTCACGCCATTCTCCTGCCTCAGCCTCTCGAGTAGCTAGGACTACAGGCGCCCGCCACCATGCCCGGCCAATTTTTTTTTTTTTTTTTTTTGTATTTTCAGTAGAGACGGGGTTGCACCATGTTAACCAGGATGGTTTTGATCTCCTGACCTCGTGATCTGCCTGCTTCTGCCTCCCAAAGTGCTGGGATTACAGGCATGAGCCACCGTGCCTGGCTGGTGAGTCCATTGTTCAACATCAGTCATGACATGTCTGCTTAGGGTGGATTTTCCATACTGTTGTGCTGGGGTCTTGTCCTGCCATGCAGCCGTTCTCACAAGTTATGAACACAAATATTCCATACATTACTGATTATCTGATCGCATCAAAGGGCTTTGAACACACTGTGGCATTAACTCCTAGATCGCTAGAAAGAGACCTACAGCATGGTCTCTCCTGCAATTTTTCAGGAATACCTTTCCTGAAAGTTAAAGAGTCAGGAGAATGGGCCAGATGAGAGCCTATGGTATCAGTCTGTGCTAAGAGTCTGATCCTATGATTTAAGCTTGTCATCTCCTCTTTTAGAGGCAAAACCATGTATAATTTTCTATGTCTGCCCTTTGCTGGCTGCCATAATGCCTTGTTCTTAAATGGTGCTTGAGAAAAACATGGTAAATTCAAAGACATTTCATATATTATAATAGCATCTTCAATCCAAGTTGTTGCTCAGCAACTTATGACACTGTTTAGTCCTAGAACACTGATTGGTTCTTCTTGTGAGATTACTAAATTTGGGACACTTGAGAAATGACTTTCAGTTCCCTTTCTCTGTGATAGGAGAGAAGTTCCTATTTGGACAGTGCTCATGGTTCTCCGTTTTCTTTCAAACTCTAATTTCCTGTGTGTTTGAGGGAATTTCCAAAGGCACCTGAATGAGGACTTCTTGGTGATGTCAAATGGTGACGAGACACTATAGCCATGAGAATTCAGTCAAGAAATAGGAATCCCTGTAATCAGTCTAAGCAGAACTGAATATATTACAGGGAATTAGCCCTTAAAACTGTTAGGGGGTCTGGAGGAGCACAAGTCACTGCAGACCCCTAATTTTAAAAGATCAGGAACCCACAGGAAGCCTCTGCTGATGTTGCAGATCCTCTAGAGCCCCTAGGAGTAAATGTCTTTAGAACACAAGGCTGCTGCCAAAACTCATGTCTGTGAAACCTGTCCCTGAGATGGCTGTGGCCTAACTTCCACCTCCCAAATCTCATAATACTGAGTTTCACTGGAGAAATGTATTCCATGTTCAGAAACCTGGGGCAGAGCAAGCCTGAGAGATGTAATATTCTTACATCTATTCCCAAAGATACAGACAGGATCAGAGAAGCAAATGGAAATTTTACAAAAATTACTAAATGCAAATATGTGTGTCTATGTTTGTGTGTATATCCACCATAGATCACTCTGGTTCTCCCCACAGTGCCAAGTCTAAAACCAGAGGACATATTCTTCTGGAGAAATAAGTTAGGGCTTTCACACTGGGCCCAGATCAAGTCTGGGACCTCAATACTTCATTTGTTTGTGTGGTTTGAATTCTGAGAACCTCCAGCCCCTTCTTTTAGCTTCCCTTCCACCACCCCCTACCCCCTTTTCCTTCTGCACTAAGGGTCTTCATGGTGTTTTTCTCCTACTAAGGACTTCCTACCAGAGGTGCTGAGGGAATATTGATCTAGGTATTTCCTTCTCAATTCACTACATAAGAAGCTTTTCTTGTGTTACTTTTTCGCATCCTGAGAGGTCACAGAAGCTGGTCTGCTGGAATAGATCCCTATCAGAATAAAAACTGTGAACTGTTGATATCAACAAATGCACTAGGACGTTAACAAATGTGCTAGGGCAGTGGGTTAATGGGCCTTCCTAGCATGTCCTGTGTTAATAGAGGCCTCCACGATGACTGGACTCATCTTTAACCTGGGAGGATGGCAGTTTGAGTTTGATTCATTCTCTCTTCACCTCTACCTGAAACCTGATGCTTTAAAGACCAGAGTTATCTTTATACAGACCTCCTGGGGTGTGAAATTACCCCTCTTTACTTGACTAGTCTTTGTAAATTAGAAAATGCATGCAGGTAGGGGTGTGTGTGTGTACGTGTGCACACTTAGAAACTTTGAATCCACATCTCAGAATATTTTCCTGCCGGCCAACTACAAGTTTCATTGCTTTAACTTGAGAACCTGTAGTCAGATTGTTCTATAATTCTCTGTGTTCTTGTCTGTTCTAAATGGCACAAGCTAAGTCTTATAATTGAGAGACTCTGAAGGAAAAGATTAGCTTGACCAATCACCAAAGAAGTCTAAGGGTAGTTGTCTCTAATAGCTGCCCCCATACAGCCAGTCCATGGCTTGATTCACTCACTCAACATCTCCTGTTCCTTAGAAATTCTGGCAATTTGTTTTCAGAGTTCCTTCCATCTCTATCATATTGGCCACTCCGAAGTCAGCACAGAGAATTAGGATATAGGACATTCTGTTGCTCTCATCTTCTCATCTTTGTTCTCATCTTCTGAAAAAACGCATGTCCTCACCTGTGAATCCTTTCTTAGCTATTCTTCCAGGAATAGGGAATGATTTTACTCAATCATCCATGTAAAACAGAGACCAGAAACTTCATTTAGACATTATGTTCTGTTGCATGAGTAAACTATGGAATCTCATCAAGGTCAGAATGATTTTATAGAATTCAGATGTGTTTGTATGCATACGTGTTGTGTGTGTGTGTGTCTGTGTGTTGAAGGAGGAGAATTAGGAAAGTATCAATTTCAATCAATCTAATTCATATAATTTTTTAATTTACTCAATTGTTTAAATACTATTTGATCCTATTCTTTATTTAAGGTACTTTCTTTTGTTTATTTTTTTAAAACATCTGAAGCATACAAATGTAATTGCTAGGTTGGATAAGCACTAAATGGAATCTTTAATCAAACAAAAACTCATTGTGCCTGCTCTTGCCTCTTTAGAGAATTTCATTAGAGATGCTATTCTCCTGCGCTTGGGTAGGAATTATAGCATACTTCATGAATTATTTTCTTGATTCTAATTAATATGCTATTCTACAATTCCCTTAAATTGCACAAGTATATCTTAGTTCAGCAATTAGATTGTTTGGTACTATATAATAATTGAAAGTCCCAACTTGATTTAATATAAATCTCTTTCTATCCCTGTGTAAATTGTTGAAGGCAGGAATGAGTGTGGTTCTCCTTCCTTCTTACGTTCTACTGGCACTTTGAGGCCATAGCTCATCTAGGGTAGGTTCAGGGAAGGGGAGGAAGAGAAAAAGACCAGAAACGTCTTACTGGAAATGAAATATTTGTGTTCTCTGAGCCTGGATGATGTTCCAAGTAAAGCTTTTCTCTTGTGCAAGGTTTGGTAGGCTCTTCAGATTCCTTCATGGCCCGTGTCTGGTGTGTAGGGGACACTAAAACATTCTTTGTGTCCACAAACTCTGGGAGTGTGACCATTCCCAATGCATCACAGTTTCCAAGATCCAATACCAACTAGTCCATATACCCTGCCCTTTAGGATTCTGATGGAAGCAGAAGCCAATCCTATCATCTTCAACCACCCAATTTCATATCAAGTAGAGGAAACTCTTGGTCCCCCTAGAAAACAATTTCACTAAATTCCAGGCAAGTAAGTTGGTCCCTTTCCCACATACGCTGGGAGTAGATGATAGAATTCATAGTAAAGAGCAGATCTATTCAAGGATATCACAAATCTGCTTCATCCTATACTCTCTGACCACCCTTTGGTCAGTAGAGAGACAATAACAGAAACTTGTTTGTCCCATCATTCCTTATTTACTTATTTATTTTATTCTACTTTAAGTTCTGGGATACATGTGCAGAACATGCAGGTTTGTTACATAGGTATACATGTGCCGTGGTGGTTTTCTGCTCCCATCAACCCGTCATCTAGGTTTTAAGCTCCTCAAGCACTAGGTATTTGTCCTAATGCTCTCCTCCCCTTGCCCCCCACCCCCCCAACAGGCCCCTGTGTCCATGTGTTCTCATTGTTCAACTCCCACTTATGAGTGAGAAAATTCAGTGTTTGGTTTTCTGTTCCTGTGTTATTTTGCTGAGAATGATGGTTTCCAGCTTCATCCATGTCCCTGCAAAGGACATGAACTCATTCTTTTTCATGGCTGCATAGTATTCCATGGTGTATATGTGGCACATTTGCTTTATCCACTCTATCTTTGATGTGTTTTCCCCATCATTTCTTTATGAATTCTGCAAAAGAGGTGAACAACAGTGTCGCATGTCCATAAACAGATATCTGTGTTAATGGCCTCTTAGCTGATACTGAGGAAAGACCACAAACATTGAAAACAAAACAACAAACATATGAAAAAGTATAAATCATGGTCATTGTCTGTTACTGGTCACATAGACATAATTATAACACGGTTTAGGAAATGGAGGCAGAACTGGCCATTTCAGCTGTGTTTCCTAGTCCAGTTTTCTTACAAGGTAATGGAGAAGAGTGTGCATATAACATGTTTTTTGTTAGATTAAGCATCACTCTGTTAAGGAATAAACTTGAGTTACTTTCAATCACTTTTAAGGATGCTGCTCTTTTTCCCAAAGTAAAATTGATATTTGAGGCCTCAGTAAGTTCCATGTTATGTCCAATTATTTAGCATTACAGTGTCTGTCTGCTTCCAAGTGACTAAAGACTTTTACTCTTGGCCATGTGCCACATAACTGAAGATTATTCTTTCAGGTGAAAGTGGCAGGATTTCTATAAGACCCTTAAGAGGCTTTTCCTTTAATTAGAAGGGAATTTAGGGACTGGAGTTCTGAGAACTGGCCATGTCCAGACAATAGTGCCCCCAAACGACAGTCATTTCTGCCACCTTTTCTCTGGACATATGCAGCATTGTTTGGAAATCTTTTTTCATTAAGCATGATCTGTGCTCATTTCTGAAGATCATAAGAATGTCTATGTAGCAGTCTTTTTCTACTCTTAATTCTTTTCTAAAAGGTATAATTGAGAGTAAGAAACAAAAAACTAGAAGACGGTTTATTTAAGGTACATGGTTAGCAATCATAGTAAAGGAGCTGAGTTCTAAACATGTAAAACACTTACTGTAGTGAAGTTAGGAAGACAAGGAGTGTGAAGATGAGAAGTTAGAAGTGTGGAGAAGGAATCACTAGAGCCTCCTGATAAGAAAGATGGTAGAAAATGATTTTTTAAAGTACTTAAGTAGGTAAGATTTCAAATCCAAATGTCGTGAATGAGTGAAGGAAATTTTCACAAAAAAATAGAAGTCATGAGAAGAAGGTGGCTCTTGTTCACACTAAGTATAGCATGGGTCAAGCACAGAATGTAAGAGGGGAATTAGTTCTCACAATAAAATAGAAGAGAATATAAGTGGCTAAATGGCATCTAAAAAATAAACCATTCCAAGACTTAAGCTAATACAGATGGTCTCTGACTTATAATTTGGCTTATGATTGTTCAACTTTATGATGGGTTTATTGGTGTATTAAATGCATTTTCAGCTTAAGATATTTTCAAGTTATAATGGGTTTATTGGGACATAACCCTATTGTTAAGTTGGAGAGCATCTGTACACGAGCAGTGGTCCATGCTGCAAAATGTTTTTTAAAAACCAATAGTGAGGATAGAGAATAAACTATTTTAGGTTTCTGAGATTACTTAGGAACTTTGAACCTTTAAGGTAGAAAGAAAGGTGAGAAATATGCCAGAAGACTGTTACTGCTTTCACTGAAATTCTTTTTTGGGGTCCAGTTTCTTTTTACCAATTGAAAATACTACTGCTATGACTATGACACTAAAGCTTACTTATATTTATTAGATAATAGTTGTATTTCCATTTTACCTGAGAAAACTGGGTTTAAAGAAATCTAGTCTTTTGGTCAAGGGCTTACTTAGAAAGTGGCAGCTGTGATTTTCTAAATCAAGTCTCTATCTCTGTAGCCAATAATATGTGGAGTCCAAGAACCAGTCCACTCAAAACACTAAAACCACTCATACCACAAACATGTCCTTGGGTAGGGATGACGGTTGGTTTTTTCTTGTATACTATGTTTATATGTGACTATTTCAAAAGTTCTCAGGACACATATTTTTCCCTTGATTTTCTAATTTATAGTATAACTGGGACTAGGTTTCCCTCTTGTGGTCAACAGTGTTTAATTCTTCATAAGTGTTTTTGACATTGAGTATTCAGACACCTTATGAAAGATCAAGGATTTCTTAAGTCAGGATGCTTCAACTAATTTTTTTCTTATGTGCATACTCAAAGTGTGTTTGATTTAATTAGGTCACTTAAATGGTTTGTAATTTTATTTATAAAATTACTTATAAAATATTTAAAACTTATAAAAATATTTAAAGTCTTTTTATAAGTATTACCATGCCTTTTTTGAATAAGCACACAAAATATAGGATGTACTTCTTTTAAATAATTTGAAGGTTGAAATAATGTCTTAAAACGGACAAAATTAACTGTATTTCATTTTGAATCTTGTGGATAAATGCTTTATAACACCCTTTCTACTTCTCCATGATGTATTTAATCTTAGGCTAATTTTCTAGCTGTTTTCTGGAAACCTGATGGAGGAAGAATGTCAGCTGGATTTTTAGACAACATTGCTTATGGCACAAATGGCTTCTGGTTGGCATTTTGTATCTTTACTGGGAAGAATATTTCATGAACCGTAACAAATGACGGGGACCCATAGTTTGGGTATTTCCAAATGCAGTGACCCTTGTAACTGAGCATGCCCTTTACAGGGACTCTGGAAGCTGTGCCCATGGGTTTGTTATAAGAGGTACTAGCTCGCAGATGACATGAGGATTCTAAGCTAGGGTGGACACAACTTCCACAGGTGTAAATTCAGCTCCTTGTACCTGAGTTGTCACTTGGGGGATGGGGGCAGAGGATGAAACTAGCACCTGGAATAAATTATAGACTGTTTCAAGAACTTCTCCCACTGAAGAAAAAGACCTGATTCAGCACTTTGGCATACTTTGACTCCTGTCTAATATCCTTCTAAGTGAATCTGAGAGCCAGGTGTGGCCTATGGTAAAAACTTGAATATGAGTATTTAGTTAAACCTGAGAATACTCCCTGCCCCCGGGTATTGATACATCGGCAATTTTCATTTTATGTCTTTTTTTATGTGTATATGTCATATGGTATATGTGTATACATAGGAGATACACACACACACACGCACATTTCCCATATTTTGGGAAAAAATTTGCATATTTTTATGGCTTTAACATAATTAATAGTTTTAGTCTTGTTTTATTTTTGTTACCAAATTAACTTAACTCTAAGGATACATTATATGTTTATTTAAGGATCTAAGGATAGAGGTATAATATTTTAATATATGACAAAAACATATTTTAAAAAATATGGTGAGAGATTTCTGGTTCTAAGACAAGATGAAGTAGGTACAATTCTTCCTATTCCTCCTGCTAAGTACAGCTACAGACAGACATAATAAGCCCTTGAATGATGGAGAGGAGAAGCAGGTTGGCCTCAGACCATGGGATTGGGGAATGACAGAGTGGTGAGTTTCATAGGTCTTCTTTCTGCCTAATATATCCAGGAATGAGTGCTAGAGAAACTGGAAAACAGGAAACATCAGTAGTCACAGACAAAAATATCCTAAGGAAAGCATGTTTCTCTATCCAAGGGAACAAGAAAGAGCAGCCTACCAGGCAGATAACTGACAGTAACCGCACTACTCCAGTCAAATACAGAAAAATCAGGGGCTTCCATCCCGCCTCAGTCAGCAAACACTGAGTGAGGAGCTTTGTCTTATCCCATTGCCTGGCGATAATGAGACACTACCTAGACCCATCAGGCTTATGTCAGAGGAAGCCAACTGGGGACCTAGGACTTTTGCCCCTGCCTATCAGTAATCAGCCACCTCCACACTGTGGTGTTAGTGAAGCCCATGTGAAGAGCCTGGACTTCCACCTGCCCTGTTGCAAGGAAGCACTCCTCACCCACTTTGCCAAGGTGTTGTCAGAGGAGGCCAAGTAGAAAGCTGGGACTTTCACCACTGTCCAGGTGTAAGGAGGCACTTCTCCCTTCCTGGTGTCAGTAGAGGCCATGTGGGAGCGCTGATGAGACCCTCTCCCTCCCAGTCAGGATTCTGTAAGTGGAGGCCTAGTGGGGAGCCTGAGTTTCTATACCCAGCCTGCAGCCACAAGGCACCCCTGCCAGAGAGCCTTCAGTTCTAAGTTCACCAGGAATTGAACCTGTCAGCATCTTGATCTTGGACTTCCCAGCCTCCAGGACTGTGAGAAACACAGAGGGTCCTCCTACAGCATTGTTTTGTTCAACGTTTTGTTACAATGTTGGTGAGAAAATAAATAGGTTCCTGGCCAGGGCCACTGTCCATGAGGAGTTTGTGTGTTCTCCCCACGTCCGCATGGGTTTTCTTTGTGTATTTGAGTTTTATCCCACATCCCAAAGACATGCATGTTAGGTTAATTGGTGAGTCTAAATTGTCCCAGCAGAGTGACTTTGTGTGTATGTGTGTGTGTGTCTGCATCCCACAATGGATGGGATGGCATCCTATACAAGGTTGGTTCCTCTCTTGTCCTTGAGCTGCCGGGATAGGCTCCAGTCATCCATGACCTTGAACTGGAATAAGCAGGTTGGAAAATGAATAAGCGAATGAATAGAAATGTTTCTAAAATAAAAATTTGTAAAGTACATGATATTCATACAACTGTACAATAGTAAACAATGGGGTACAAAAGTACTCAGTGAGTTCAACGTATTTGTTCTTCTTTGTGTTTGAGCTGTGTGGTGGCAGGAGGTGCTCCTTACCATTTTCATTTTACAAACATTTGTTCCTTAATGTAACCCACCACCACTGTGACCACCATCACTCACTAATTCACCAAAAACTGGATAATTAATTATCTTACTTGTTATTATAAACCTACCTTAAATGTATATATAGTTCCCATTTATTTTAATGTTTAATATTAGAAGTGTTCTGAGTCTTTATTTAGGAGTTTGGTGATGTGTTTGTGACCAGAAATAAGCCACAGGAACTTAAATCTTGTTCGCATCAATTAGCCCAGGGGTTCCCAACCCCTGGGCCACAGACCACTAATGGCCTGCTGTCAGATCGGCAGAGGCATTGGATTCTCACAGGAGTGCAAACCTTTGTGAACTGTATTGTGGACTGCCCATGCGAGGGATCTAGGTTGTGCCATCCCACTCCCTGCCACCGCTAGTCCCCAACCCCCATCCATGGCAAAATTTTCTTCCACAAAACCAGTCCCTGGTGCCAAAAATGTTGGGGATCGCTGAATTAGCCTATGGTCAAATTAGTTTTATTATATGTCATTTTGCTTAAAGTCACAGCTTCTAAGAACCTATTGATGATGTTAAGTGAGGACTTTCAGTAAATGTCTGTTGTTTAATCTACTCCATCTGAGTGTCAATGGAGCCAAGTAGAGGACATGGAATTTCACATCATCTGGCAGTTTTGGGGTGAGAGTTACATATTTAAGTCAGTAGATTTTAAGTAAAGTACATTGCCCTCCATAACTGGGTTCCCCTCATTTAATCAGTTGAATGCCTGATTAGCATAAGAGGGAACTCTCCAACAGATTGTCTCAGACTCCATCTGCAATCCTGGCTCTTCCTGGTTCCACAGCAGACTACCTTTGGGCTCAAACTGCAACTCTGTCCCAGTCTCCTCCACTGCTGGCCTCTTCCATCAGAATTTGGACTCAGTAAGCTTCCACAATCATGTGAGCAAATTCTTTAAAAGAAGTATCTTTCTATATATACATATCCTGTTAGTACAACTGCTCTGGAGCACCTAATACAGATCCCAAGGGCATTATTCTGAGTACAAAATGCCAGTCTCGGAAGGTCACATATAGTATAATTCCATTTATATAACATTTTCTAAATGATAAAATTATACAGATGAAAATCAAATTAGTGGTTGGCACAGTGTAGGGATGGTGGGGGGTGGGGGAATGGTGTGACTCTTAAGGAGGGCGAGTGGCATGAGGAAGATCTTTGTGGTGATGGAATATAGTTCTGTATTTTGATCACAGTGGTGGTTACATGAATCTACACATGTGATAAAGTAGAAAACTGCAAATACATTGTATCAGTGTCGATTTCCTTGTTTCGATATTGTGCTATAGTTATGTATGATGTAACCATTGGGGGAAACTGGGTGAAGGGTACAAGGGACCTCTCTGTACTATTTTCATCAACTCCTGTGAATGTATAATTATTTTGAAATTAACATTTAAAAATCATAAAGCATATTATCTAATTTTTTCTCTCAAACTTTAAACAAATCAATGTTTACCTTGTAAATCTTCTCTGCACTCCCAACAACATTGGATATTCTTTATTTGTAATTTTTTTTAAACTACAGACACACCTGACTTAAGATGGTTTGACTTAGGATTTTTTGACTTTTCAATGGTGTAAAAGCAATATCCATTCTGTATAAACCATACTTTAAATTTTGATCTTATTCCAGACCAGCGATACTCAGTAAGATACTCTTTCACAATGCCAGGCAGCCTCAGCCACATGATCATGAAGGTGAACAACTTATACTCTACACTTTCAACTCACAATATTTTCAATTTACAATGGATTTATTGGGAGTTAACCCCATCATAAGTTGAAGAGCATCTGTATTACATTTAAAAACCCAGGTTATTTTAAAATAGTTGCTTATATTTACATACTTACAAGATTATTCAGTCTAGCCCAGATTTACAAGGGGGAAAAAACACACTCAAGGTATTTTAAGCCCAGAGAGATGTAATACAGTGAAGTGCATTGCAAAAGTTTTGTAAGGACAGAAAAAGCAAAATTGTGCTTCCAAAGGTCAGGAACTGCAGGAAGCTACTATTGGCCCTGCAGCACTAAACAAACCCACACTCCTGGCAGCTGCTGCTACTTGCTGTCAGAAGCAGAATGACAGCAATTTTCCACTGCCTTCTAATCGCAAGTGAGTGCCTTCCTAAGAAAGGGACTCTGGAAGAAGTGGTGTCCAGGCTTCAACCCCAAGTGATGTGGAAAAAAGCACAAAACAGGGGGAAATTGATTTAGTACCAACAGACAATATCTCCAACTTAAAATATCTTGAATATTTATTCCTGAATATATTACCCCTTTCTAATATCTCTCTTTGCATTCTCCTTATTTGTACTTACATATATATTTGATGAATTTTTAGCATTTTTAGTAATTTACTAAATCTATACTTAATAGAAATATTAAACCTAATATAATGTATAGCATTATCCGATATAGAAGATCTTAAATGTCATTAATTAAATGTTAGCCTCTTGGATTTTAATTTATATAAAGCTTAATAATGTGAAAATACATGAAGATCAACCAAATGAAAAGAGCAAAAATTATTCACAAATTGCTATAACAAAGGAGTCAGCCACCATCTTTTGCATTTTGGCAGAGACTCAAAGACAGGCAAAGAAGTAGGAAACTTTATAGTGGTTAAAAGGGACCTGATTGGAGGCTGTTGGCATGGGGAATGCTTAAGGGGTAACTGGAAGTGGAGTATCCTATGTAATTGGGTAGTATGCATATTTAGCTTTCCCTGGTTGGTCCTAAGTTGGAAGCAGGCACAAATATTGGGGGAACTGTCAGTTATTAATCAAGTCCTGGCCATTTTAAAACAATTGTTATAAAAGTTATTATTTAGCCTCCTGGATTGTTACTAGAGACAGCAATCTGACTTCCTGCAAGTCGGACTTAAGCAGACTACCTTGCTGTATTGTTTATTGAAGATAAGGGAATTGGTTCCCCAGGCAGGCTGCTGTAGGCTGTGGGTCAAAGGTCTATTTTTTTTTTTTTTTCTTAGATGGAGTCTTGCTCTGTCGCCAGGCTGGAGTGCAGTGGCACGATCTCAGCTCACTGCAACCTCCACCTCCTGGGCTCAAGTGATTTTCCTGCCTCAGCCTCCCGAGTAGCTGGGACTACAGCTGCGTGCCACCATGCCCAGCTAAATTTGTATTTTTAGTAGAGACAGGGGTTTCACCATGTTGGCCAGGATGGTCTTGATCTCTTGACCTCATGATCCATCCGCTTGGCCTCCCAAAGTGCTGGGATTACAGGCGTGAGCCACCATGCCCAGCCAGGCCTATTTTTATATATGGTCTGGCCATTGTCTGTTTCTATATCCAGTTTTTCAGAAAGCACAATTTAAAATCTTATTCTTTTTTCCACCACAGTATAAGATGCATTAGGGTCACAGTAGGACAAATTGTCCCACTGGCAACAACTACAAAAATAGGATAAAATTTTAAAGGTATATTTTTAAAAAGCATTGTTTAGCTAAGAAAGTAAATAGGACTAGATGAATAAAAATTCCAAAGAAGAACCATGCAAATGTAAGCTGACGTTTGGACATCACTGTTTCTCTTGGTAGCATTTGCTGTTTGCAAGTGTACGCTGCGTTTTAGTGCCATTTTTCTGCTACCGTTTTCTGCTGTAGAAAAGTTTTCTGCTACAATTTTCCTACAGTTTTCTGCTGTAAGAAAGAAATCAGCAGCAATTATGGGGCCAGTGTGATGTAACTAGAAAACTGAGGCATCTCAAACACTCTGGTTTCTTCAAAACACGTTGGTTAACTTCTGATGCTACGGTAGAAGGTAAAACAAAAAACTAAAGTGTCAACTTCTGAAAGGCAGTGCAAAATCTTTCACTGTCCAGTGGTGTTGAGGAAACAAAGACCTACCATTGATAAGGGCCCTAAAACAAAACAGACGTAAGTTTCAGAAGAACTGGTGAATTGATGCCAAGTAACAACAACCACTTATCACCTGAGGACACTTACTGATCTGAGTGCTTGTTTGGAGCTAATAATCCAGGTTTGGCCTCTGACAATAGGCTCCTCCAGTGGACTAAGAAAATAGCAAGTGTTTTGTCATTTGACATGGTGCTGCAATGACAAGATTTGAGAGTTGATGACTTCAAGCACTTTGTAGGTGTCTTTTTCAAAACACTTGTTAAATGTTGAAGATGTATGGAGTAGAAGACTAATGAGCTAAGCTGAAAATTTCTTTAAGTTCAGCCTAAATCTCCTTCAGCTCTTCAGGATTGAGAAGATGAAAGCTATCGGGTTTTTCATTGAAAGTCATGGAGGACTATGCTCTAGAAATGGGGCAAAACTGAAGTCATGCATCACTTAGCTAAAGGGACAAGCTCTGAGAAATGTGTCATTAGGTGATTTCATCTTTGTGTGAACATCACAGAGTGTCCTTACGCAAACTAGATGTTATAGCCTACTATACATTTAGGCTATATGGTACACCCTATTACCCCTAGGCGACAAACCTGTACAGCATGTGACTGTATTGAATACTATTGGTAATTGTAACACAATGCTAACTGTTTATGTATCTAAACATACAAAAGGTGTGGTGAAAATACCATATGAAAGATTTTTAAATGGTAGATCTTTCTAGGACACTTACCATGAATGGAGCTTGCAGAACTGGAAGTTGCCCTGATGAGTCAGTGAGTGAGTGGTGAGTGAATGCAAGGGCCTAAGGCATTACTATACATTACTGTAGACTTTATAAATACTGTAACTAAGACAACATTAAATTTATGAAAAATGTTTTTCTACAATAATTAACCTTAGCTTACTCTAACTTTTTAAACTTTATATACTTAATTTTTTAACTTTTTGACTGTTTTGTAATAGCACAGCTTAAAACACAAACACTATACAAAAATATTTTCTTTATATCCTTATACTATGAGCTTTTTTCTACTTAATTTTTTTTTTTCACTTTTTAAACTTAAAAAAAAATCTAAGAAACACACACATTAGCCTAGGCCTACTCAGAGTCAGGATCATCAATATCACTGTTTCCCACTTCCACATCTTGTCCTACCAAAATGTCTTCAGGGGCCATAGCACACATGGAGAGGCCATCTCCTATGATAACTACACTTTCTTCTGGAATTCCTCCTGAAGGACCTGCTTGAGGCTCTTCTTGAGGAGGTGTCACTCTTCAGAAACAGGTCCATGATGGTTTGCTTGGTTTCCTTTTTTCATCATAGATTTGCTTATAAGCAGATGATTCACCGTGAACATTCCTCTTTATTAATGAAAACCTTGTTGTGCTGGGGTTCATGTTTTCAAATTTTTAAGGAGCTTGTTGAGGTCTGCAAAAGCTCCTGCTAAACCCTGCACAGGGAATTTTATTTGGGGTTCTTCTTCTTCTTCTCCTTCAGTTTCCTTTTTTTCTGACCACTACTTCAACTATGCATTCCTGTCTCAGTTCCAACAACTCCTCATTAGTCAATTCCAAGGAACTACCTCTAGGAGCTCCTAATGCCATCCTCATCCGTACTCAGTTTAAAGTTGTTTGCCATCTCAGCCAAAGCCTTGTAGATTTTTGCAATCTCCTCATCCTTGGCAAACCCTTTGAACTCACAGACAAACCTCCTGAGTGTCTTCTTCCAGATGCCATTCACACACTCCTCGGTGACATCATCCCCATCCCAAGCAAGGTTCTTGATGTAGCCATAGCTGTTGTTATCCTTCCAGAATTGCATCACTGTCTTCTCAGTGTCTTCCTGAGTTACCATAATAACATGGGCAAAGGCCCTCTTCAGATAGTAAACCTTAAAAGCTGCTATAATTCCTTGATCCATTGGTTGGATTAAAGAGGGAGAAGCACCACTTCGATATTGGGATAAAGATCATTAATAACAGGAGGATGTGCAGGAGAACAAATAACCATAAACAAAATCTTGAAAGTTATGGTATTTTTCAGACAATGCCTCTCTATTTCTCTGGCATAGCAATTTAGGATGTAATCATGGAAGAGGAGATGGGTCATCCATGATGTTTTATTACACCTGTAGTGTACTGGCAGGATATACTTTATATATATATATATATATATATATATATATATATATATATATATTTTTTTTTTTTTTTTTTTTTTTTTTATGGAATCTAGCTCTGTCTTCCAGACTGGAATGCAGTGGCATGATCTCGGCTCACTGCAAGCTCCACCTCCCAGATTCACACCATTCTCCTGCCTCAGCCTCCTGAGTAGCTGGGACTACAGGTGCCCACCACCACACCCGGCTAACTTTTTGTATTTTTAGTAGAGACAGGGTTTCACTGTGTTAGCCAAGATGGTCTTGATCTCCTGACCTCGTGATCCGCCCACCTCGGCCTCCCAAAGTGCTGGGATTACAGGCGTGAGCCACTGTATCTGGCCTCTTTTTATATTCTTAAAGGAAGGTCCTGGGGTTTTCACCTTGCTGGATCACAAAGGGCTTTAATTTGTAGCCTGCAACATTGCCCTCAAGCAAGACCGTTATCTGTACTTAAAAGCCTTGAAAGCTAGCATTGACTTGGCCTCCTTATGGGTTAAATTCCTTTCAGGCAGTGAGAACAAAGACACAACATACCAGAATTTCTGGGACACATTTAAAGCAGTGTGTAGAGGGAAATTTATAGCACTAAATGCCCACAAGAGAAAGCAGGAAAGATCTAAAATCAACATCCTAACATCACAATTAAAAGAACTAGAGAAGGGCAAACAAATTCAAAAGCTAGCAGAAGGCAAGAAATAACTAAGATCAGAGCATAACTGAAGGAGATAGAGACATGAAAAACCCTTCAAAAAATCAATGAATCCAGGAGCTGGGTTTTTTTTTTTTTTTTTTTTGTAAAAAAAGATCAATAGATAGACCGCTAACCAGACTAATAAAGAAGAAATGAGAGAAGAATCAAATAGATGCAATAAAAATGATAAAGGGGATATCACCACTGATCCCACAGAAATACAAACTACCATCAGAGAATACTATAAACACCTCTGATAGAACAGACTTTAAACCAGCAAAAATCAAAAGAGACAAAAGAGGGCATTACACAATGGTAAAGGGATTAATTCAACAAAAAGAGCTAACTATCCTAAATATATATGCACCCAATACAGGAGCACCCAGATTCATAAAGCAAGTTCTTAGAGATCTACAAAGAGACTTAGACTCCCACATAATAATAGTGGGAGACTTCAACACTCCACTGTCAATATTAGACAGATCAACAAGACAGAAAATTAACAAAGATATTCAGGACTTGAACTTAGCTCTGGACCAAGCAGACCTAATAGACATCTACAGAACTCTCCACCCCAAATCAACAGAATATACATACTTCTCAGCACCACATCGCACTTGTTCTAAAATTGACCACATAATTGGAAGTAAAACACTCCTCAGCAAATGCAAAAGAATGGAAATCATAACAGTTTCTCAGACCACAGTGCAATCAAATTAGAACTCAGGATTATGAAAGTCACTCAAAACCACACAAATACATGCAAACTGAACAACCTGCTCCTGAATGACTACTGGGTAAATAACAAAACGAAGACAGGAATAAAGACATTCTTTAAATTTCCACTCTTAGCCTTACTTTTTGTGTGTCTGCATCCTTGATCTCTATGGCCACGAGACAACAAACCTCAGGTCACCCCAGACAAACGAGGCTGCTTCAATCCCACTTATATGAGGTGCCGAGGTAGCCAATCTCATAGAAACAGAGAATAGGTTGGTGGTTGCCAGAGACTGGGGGCAAGGTAAATGGGGGAGTTACTGTTCAACCAATATAACATTTTAGTTATGCAAGATGAATAAGTTCTAGAGATCTACTATACAACATTGTGCCTATAGTTAACAATACTGTGTTGTAGTTAAAAACTTGTAAAGAGGGTATATTTCATGTAAGGTGTTCTTATCACAACACAATGAAATAAATTGGAAAATGAAGGTGGTCCAGAATTTATCATTGTTACCAGCAAGAGGGTTATTTCAATACAAACTACTCCGTCAATACCAGAGGCCATGACTCTCCTTCCAGAGCTTTTAATTAAGACCCAGGTAGGTCTCTGTTCCTACAAATGTCAGTGAGAGATTCAGCCCTGAACTTCAGTACTTGCTGGCCCAGCTCCCTGGCCTCCTTCTCAGGTGGCTTCAGGAGCAGGCACATGTGAAAACGGGGAGACCCACCTTGTGCTCGACAGACCCAGGCTGAAGGCAGTTCTCCGTGTCCTGAACACAAGCAACATGGAGGAGTCCTCATTCTGCCTTTGGAGTTTGGGGCCTGGCTCATAGCTCAGTGCTGCACCACAGCTCAAGAAATATCTTGTGGGGAAATCACGCCATGAATTTGAGAATTTGAGAACCTCAAATATCTAATTTCTTAGTCTGTCCCTGTGTCCCTTGCTTGGTTTCCCTTTCTCCAGCAGATTCCCTCCTGAGCCCATGACACCTCTTCTGTATGAACAATGAATTGGCAAATGCCCCATGGGTGGCAGGGGAAGAGCTGTGATTGTCAGCTCACCTCAAAAGGATCACCTATTCTCTGCAATTGTATTTCATCTAGTGCATGTTGCTTCCACAGCTCTCCTTTTCCTTTAAAGTACGAATTTTGTGTTTTAAATTTTTAACTTTTCTAGCTGGTGTACTGGGAGTGTTGAGTTAATCTAGCAGTATCCCACAGAGAAGTCAAAGTCGTATATTTATGTTCTGTTATGTTTTTCTTGGATTTTATTATTTTTTGTTTTCTTATATATTTTTTAATTGATGCCATGCAGAAGAAAAATATGAGTGATAATTTGAGGCTCCAGGAAATATTATATTTCTCTAGAGGTTATTTAGTTTTGCTTGTGTCAGGCAATGAGGCTATGAGGCTAAGGTCATTAATATCTCAAATCACCCAAATCTAGTCTAGGATTAGTTAGTTAGAACTCAGGATTCAGTTCCTATGAAGGATGATCTGTTTCTGTTTCACCTTATTCCACATATTAGACTTCCAAGGTTTCTATGGAAAGCGTATTTTTATCTTATGGAGTCCTTCCTTTATTTGTGAGGCATGAAATCCAAATTTGTCCCTCTAGCCCTTTGAACATTTTGTGAGGTTTTTGTGCTTAATGGAAGTTGAGCCAAATGAAAAGGAACACAGGTATCAAACACCACATGGAAGCTGAAGCAGCTAGCTGTATTGAACATGTTTCCCCCTCACATAATAAATAGCATATATTCTTATCAAGCTGGAGCTGGCATCGTAGGAAGCACTTTTTCTCTTTG
This sequence comes from Homo sapiens, assembly GCF_000001405.40. Taxonomy (NCBI): domain Eukaryota; kingdom Metazoa; phylum Chordata; class Mammalia; order Primates; family Hominidae; genus Homo; species Homo sapiens. The sequence goes on along the minus strand of NT_167245.2, from coordinate 3,660,496 downwards.
CATTTACATCTTCTGATCTTTGGGAATGAAAATCGTCTGTATACGTGATTCTTTCCTACTTGGTTGTGGCCATTATCTTGTTCCCTTACTCTAAGGAATTATCTAGATGTTGGATGATTTGGGGCTGGATAATGATGGATGTGAAGTTGTATTTTACTTGCTCATGGTTAGCTGGAACGTTTCCCTCCCCACCATCTACCTAAGTAGTTTCCAAGCTGCCTATATCAGATCAATCAGGTCCAGGTGAGCAGGAATAGAATCCAGAGCCGCCACATACACTGGGATATGAGGATGTCTGTTGAGTTGTGTTTTGTATAAATTGTGAAAGGAAACTAAAAATTTGGCACCCCAATTCACCATGTCAAAAGGAAAGAATTAAGGTGAAAGCTGAGTCACGCAAGAAATTGCCTTTCCTTTGGTTTCCAAGCAGATAGCTACAGATAAAAGGTTAAAAATATCCCCACCGGTAGCTACTCTATGTTCACCTAATCATATGCAAAGCGATGATTTACTGAGAGCAAGATGAATACATAACTGACTCTTCCCCTACCTGCCCCTTTTTCCTTGCAACATGTGGATTGCCATACCTTCTCTCTTTCCCTGTCAGCCCACTTTTCCCCTTTAAATATTGAAATCATCTTTGGAGAAAGACACAGACCAGATTGCCTGTGTCATTTGATGATTTTTTCTTTCCAGCATGTCCCTAACCTTGGGAAAATAAACTTCTAAATTGCTTAAGACCTGTCTCAGACACTTTTTGGTTTACAACCTTGACATATATCAGAGTTTCAACCTATGTGATAGTCCAAGGAAGAGTGAAAATTACCAAGGAAAGTACACTATTGGAGCTATTCAATTCTCCCTCCAGTCTGCTTTTCACCTTTAAATATTGAAGGCTTCTAAATCATCTTTGGAGAAAGCCACAGACTTGTCTTCTGGGCATTGTCTTAAACCCTAGCAAAATAAACTTCTAAATTGATTGAGATCTGTCTCAGATATTTTTGGTTTAGAGTATTGTAACTATGGTCTTTGTACTTGCCGCACTGCCTCCTCTCCGTTTGATTTACCAATGCCCAATGAAGCCATGTTTTCAGCATGCAAAACCCAGGAAAGAAATTCTACAAAACTTGCCAAGCAAGAACTCAATGTTGCACAAAACTCATAATGATAGTGCACCAGCTCATCGAGAGGGGAGCCAATTCACAAACAAGCATGAGAAAATCTAGATGAAGGCCATTTTACCAGCCCTAAAAAAGCTATTTCTGACCGGGCGTGGTGGCTCACGCCTGTAATCCCAGCACTTTGGGAGGCCAAGGCGGGAGGATCACGCGGTCAGGAGATCGAGACCACCCTAGCTAACATGGTGAAACCTCGTCTCTACTAAAAATACAAAAAATTAGCCGGGCGTGGTGGCGGGCGCCTGTAGTCCCAGCTACTGGGAAGGCTGAGGCAGGAGAATGGTGTGAACCCGGAAGGCAGAGCTTGCAGTGAGCCGAGATCACGCCACTGCACTCCAGCCTGGGCAACAGAGCAAGACTCCGTCTCAAAAAAAAAAGCTATTTCCATTTATGAATTTAACTATAAATAACTATATAGTATAAATAACTATAATTGATATGAAAATATATAAAGTTATTCAGTTGTTAATGGATACTTAAGTTGTTTTGATGTTTTGCTATTAGGAATGAAGTTGTAATGAACTTGCAATAGTTCTTGATGTATGTTCTAGAGTAGCATTGTAGTAGTAATGTAGTATGATAATGTATATATATTTTCAACCTTACTATGTTATGCTGACTTGTTTTCCAAAATGATCCTAACAATTTCTATTTCCTTCAGAAGTCTGTTGGTAGAAACATTGACCCACATCCTTGCTAGGTTTTGATATTTTTATTGTTTTTTCAGTGTGGCGTTTATTTACATTTCTCTGACTTATAATGAAGAGTTTGAAATTTTTTCACATATTCACATGTCATTTATACATGTTACTATAAAATGTTTCTTCTTGCCTTTACCATTTTTTTTCTCAGAAAAATATAGTCCTTTACTAATTGATTTGTAGGAGGCCTTTCTATGTTCTGGGTACTAATCCTTTTCATGGTTTAATATGTTGTAAGTATCTTTATCCAGTTTACCAAAAAAATTTCCTCTCTCTAGTGAGTGATTCCAATCAGCATATAAACATGCCACGGCATTTCCTTTTCCCTAAATCCAACTCTGCTAATGAATTTTTACTTCTAATCTGAAGGAAACTCTTAAAAATATTGGGCTGCACCTGTTATTTCCATTCCTCCCCATTCTTCTTCCACTCTTCACAGATCAGGCTACAGTCCACATCTTTAACTGAACTCCTTGTCACTGACATGTGTTAGCTCCATGTTGCCAAATCCAATGGTCATCTCTAGGATGTCATTTTATTCATCATATCAGAAGCATTTTATGTAGTTAACCACTACTGCATCATTGATGTATTTTCTTGACTTGTTACTAAACCTCACTGTCTTGAGATTCTCATCACACGAGAATAACAGCCAGATCTCAGCCTGCCTTGCCAAGTCTCCCATCTTCCCAACCTCTAAATGACTGAGGGCCCAGGACTCATCTCTTGCATTTGTTTCCTATGCATCTTCATTCCAGAATCTCCCATGGATTCCCACAACTAAGCACAATTCTTTGTTGAAGTTTCTCTAACTTACATTACTAGCCTTGACATGTTGCCCATAGCTTTGAAGCATGACTTGAAACCAAGCTTTGCATATTTCTTCTGTCCTTTTTCAAATAAGTTTTGGCTATTGTAGATCCTTTGTATTTTCATATAAATTTTAGAATTGTCTATTGCCACAAAGAAACCCAATGGGAATATTGATCAAGATCGTGTTGAGAACTGTTATTTCAAAAATATCAATTCTTCCCAAATCAAAATATATTATATCTCTTTACACATTTAGAATTTTATCAGTTTCTCTCATCAGTATTTTATAGTTTCACATCACACATCTTTCGGTTCAGTTTATGTCTAAGTATTTTATGTTTTTATTGCTGTCATAATGAAGTGATTTTTAAATTTTATATATGATATTCTGCTGTGGTGTATAGAATTACAATTTGTTTTTGTATTTTACCATTGTTAAATTCACACATTCTAGGCATTTTCAATAGCTCTCTTAGGGTTTTATATATAAGCAATCAAGCTTTCCAGGCTGTAATGTTTACTGTTTGCCAAAAGGAGTCTGAAATTATGTGAAATCTGCTAGGCTTAAACTAATTTTTAAAATAATAAAAGTTGAAAGAAAAATCCAGGTCAATTTAAAAAATAAAGAATATTTTAAAAATAGTTTCCCATGCCCAATTTTATGTTAAAATACAACCAGACATAGTTAAATGTTTTATATATGGTCATGAAACTAAATTGTCCCCAATTATTTTCATATTCCAGTTCATATCAATTTCAATGGCTAGGCTATCCTTTGGGGTATAGTTTTCCTTTCATCCTGCTAACCCATTAATTATCCTTTTCTACGTGTCCACAAATGTCAGAGGTGTTTGAGCCGGAGCAACTCCATCTTGAATAGGGGCTGGGTACAATGAGGCTGAGAGCTACTGGGCTGCATTCCCAGGAGGTTAAGGCACTTTCAGTCACAGGATGAGATAGGAGGTCTGCACAGGATACAGGTCATGAAGACCTTGCTGATAAAACAGGTTGCAGTTAAGAAACGGGCCAAAACCCACCAAAACCAACATGGCCACAAGAGTGACCTCTGGTCATCCTCACTGCTCATTATATGCTAATTATAAAGTATTAGCATGCTAAAAGACACTCCCACCAGCGCCATGACAGTTTACAGATGCCATGGCAACATCCAAAATTACCCTATATGGTCTAAAAAGGAGAGAAGCCCTTAGTCCAGGAATTGCCCACCACCTTCCCGGAAAACTCATGAGTAATCCACCCCTTATTTAGCTTGTAATCAAGAAATGCTAAACCTACATGAAGTATGAACGATTCCTTACATTCCATTCCATGCACCACATCCTCCCTGAAGATTGTCTTGATTCCTTCATAGTTATTGAATTATTATAATATTAGTGCCTATGTTCTCTACTCTCAAAAGTGCAAATGACATTAATAACTGAACTTATAATATTTTCTGCTTTGCTACCTTAAGAATGAGTGCCTGGTATTGCGACGTGATTACAACGAATTTAAGACAATGAAGCAGTCCTCTCTCCCTATCTCCCTCATATCCTCTCTGGCTCTCTCTCTCTCTCTGTCCTTCTCTCCTCCTCTCTTTCCCCCGCATTCTCCCAGGGTGGTTCAGTGGCAGAATTCTGCTGGGACCTTTAAGAGAGAGAAGCATATTCAGCAGCAGCAGCAGTTTTCCTATTCCTGCCCCCATCCGCGGCTTTGAACTGAGTTTACCACGAAATACAAAAACACAATTTTAGAAAGAAAGATATTGGCAGTTAAGATTTGGGAAGTTTCTAAATGGGACTCTCAGTCCTTCCCGCCACTCCGAAATCGCGGTGCAGTAGTAAAATCTTGGAGGCGGTTCTTGAACAAACCTGTCATCTACTGGCCATGTGTGGAACTGCAACAGCCCGGTGGGGAATGCACTTCGCAGAGATGGAGATCCTCTGAGAGGCCCCAAGAGGACCAAGTAAAAGAACCCAGGATGAATGGCAGGCTGGATGGGTGCAAATGCAGGAGGCTTAGTATATCGGTATGATTTTCTTTGCCTTCTTTCTCCCAATATTTGGAAGGGTCCCCTATTTCCAGTGTGAGACATGCCCGGATATCTCTGTGAGTGCAGCTTCTTTGGGGTCCTGGGAGGAGTGTGATGGTATTAACACATTCTGTACACCCTCTCCCCGCAATTCCCCAAGGGGGCATCTGCATTAGTTTTGGAGTCAACTGAGGTGGGCTTCACCGAAGCTTACATCTCTTCCTGGGAACTTTAGTCTTATAGGCTCCCACCTGCAGTAGAATCAATTTTAGGTAATTTCATCATTTTCAAAAAATAATAGATGATCATTGTGATTGTCTTAAACTTCTGTAACTCTTTCATAAAAGTAAATTTAAAAGTAAAAATTTATTTTATTTTATTTTATTTTATTTATTTTTTGAGACAGAGTCTCACTCTGTTGCCCAGGCTGGAGTGCAATGGCGCAATTTCAGCTCACTGCAACCTCCGCCTCCCAGGTTCAAGTGATTCTCCTACCTTAGCCTCTGGAGTAGCTGGGATTACAGGCGTGCACCACCACGCCCAGCTAATTTTTGTATTTTTAGTAAAAACGGGGTTTCACCATGTTGCCCAGGCTGGTCTCAAACTCCTGACCTCAGGTGATTCACATGCCTCGGCCTCCCAAAGTGCTGAAATTACAGGTGTGAGCCACCACACCCAACCTAAATTTTTTAAAATTAAAAGTTTTAGAGGAACTGGTTTGTCAGACACTTTTTGTAAAGTATATGACAGCCATGTATGTAAAGAGCTCAACTTAGACTGTAGGTCAGCCAGAACTAAGAATACCTCAGTCCTCCATCCCTAAATGTTTGGGCATTTTCCTATTCAGAAGTTCTACTGCCTGCCCTTCCTCCTTTCTTCTCTTTTCTTTCTTTTCTTCTTTTTTCTTTTCTTTTCTTTCCCTCCCTCCTTCCTCCCCCCTCCCTCCCTTCCTCCCTTTCTTCCTTTCTTCTTTCCTTCTTTCCTTCTTTTTGCCAATCAAGAAAAATGGCCAGAGGTGCAGATTGAACCGTGGCCACGCTGTGAGGAAAGGCCTCCGTCCTGTGAGCACCACCCTCCCCTCACTGGCCTCGGGAATCCCAGGCCCCCCACTCACATCTGGGGGAGGAGTCGCAGGGCTTCTGCAGGTGCTCTCTCTCCTCCAGTCAGTCAGCAAACCGAGGGGACTGTGGAGGACAAGCCACTGTGCCTCCAGGAGATGAGAGCTGCTGATTTTTCTTTCCTTTCCCTGAGGAAACGATACCTGTATAAGTCTCACTGCTGGGAGACTCCACAAAGTAATCATCTTTCTGGTGAGTTGATCTGAGAGCTCTCAAAACATCTTTCAACCAGGTCCCCAAGAAACAGCTGATGGCGTCGCCTGAACTTCTCCATATTCATAGCAACACTTTCCTGACATTTCTTGGATTGACCTTGATTTCTTATCTTCATTTCTAATCTCCTCTATTTTTCTATCCACCTTCTTTCCAAGACCTTCCATTCCCAGTAATGACACCTAATAGCTATATAGGGATTTTGTATCATGATTATATTCTTACTTTATCCTTACAACGATACTTTAATGTGAGCCACCCACATACTATCCCTGTGTAAAAACTAAGAAAATTGAGACCCCTGGAAAGAACAGACTTACCCAAAGTAAAGCTTGCCCAAATGTATAGCAAAGCTAGAATGAAAATCTCAGTCAGCCTAAACTCAGGGCTTCTTTTGTCGTCTAGTGGCTGAGGGAGTTATGAATGTGGGTCACAGGTGACCGCCGCATTTGAAGAAGAGTCTGTAAGTGAATCGACTTGCGGAACATCCTTGAAGCCGACAGTGAGCCCGTCTCTGCTGCCCTCTGGTGGCCAGGCAGATCCATGACTCCCCTCTCCTGTTCCTCCTGCCCTCGCCGGATGCTTGTTTTTCCCTCTCCTCAGTTCTAGCAGCTTATGCCTTGTTTTCCCGCTTCTCCTGGAGGTGGACTCTAGTCAGAATGGCAGAGATTGTGACTCCTTTTTTTCTCTCCCACACACCAACATCTTCCTGCACAAAATGGCCTCCCATAATATGTAGCATAATTTAGGACACAGTTCTCAGCACAGGCAGACCTCTGAGAAAGTGTATGCAGATGATTTGTGAGAACACACACACGCGAGTGTAAACGGAGCTTCTTTACGCGGTGAGTTGGCGCTGATGTGACTGACCATAAAAAATTCAAATAATTCCAGCATTTGGTACCATAGAGATGATACTACAGAATGCATGCAATGAGCGGCATCTTTTCACACATTCAGGTGTATAAAGTAAATTTCTATATTTTCCTATTACGGATTTTAATTTGTATGCCAAGCATTATTATGTCTTCTGACAGAGAAGTTCATCTGGTAATTTCCAGATAAATTCAGTGGCTTTCACACAATTAATTTAATAGCAGCCTCTTCTTCACCCGCCGTGTGATTTCTAAGTTCTGAGGTGGGAGGTGGTGCAGGGCTGGTGTAGAAGTCTCTCCTCACATTTGCATCATCAGCTCCCACAATATGTCACTATCCCATCGTGTTTCCTGGTCGTCACTGTCCTTCCCACAGTGGTGACGATCACTGTTATGTCCTTGATGCCACTCTCCTCTTGCTGGAACATTCCATCCCAGCATTTTAGGCAGCAAACTTTCATCCCACTGTTGGAGCCTTCCAGAGTCTGCCACTTCTTGCCTTGGAGAACTTTTCCTTTGCTGCCACTCTGAGAGGGACATCTGTGGGCATCGCTACCATTCTGGGAACCGGAGGTGAAGTGGGGTTCATTCCCCTCTACTCCAATTGAGAGAGAACCAGGGTAAAGAGACCCTCCTATCCTCGTCCATGTTTAATTGTTTCTCTTCTCTCCAAATCTCTCATCCTCTACAGTGAGGGGAGGGTCTTTGTCTAGACTGAAGGATGGAGGGGGAAACCCTTACATTAAGAATCGTAACCGTAAGTCAGGGGACCCAATTATGGGCTGCTCATAACGGGAGGGAAAGAAACTTAAGGAAAAAATCGGCTCAAACCTTGTAACATCATAATGCTGCATATGCTTTTATTATTACATTGACATGAAAATCTGCAATTAAATTAAAAATTGTTCTGGAGAACTCTTGAAATCCTGAGACTATATCTGAGACCCCCTCTAGCTCAAGGAACACAGACTTAAGGGGAACGTAAAGGAAAATCTGGCAGAAACAAAAACACACACAAAATATGCCTATCATTATACTCTTCATGCCCAAATATTATGCTGAGAAGGTTATTACATTTCTTTGGTAAACATCTGAGAGTAATTAAACCTTTTATTACTCAGCAAAGGGAGATAAAGTACCTGAGTAAAAAGAGCAATAAAGTAGCCCACAAGGGACCTTGGCCCAGAGCTCTGATCCTGGAGAGGGCAGTTCCTTTCTCTGGGTCTCTGTTTTCTCATCAGTGGAATGAGGGATGGCACGTTTGATATTCAGTTTTGCTTCCAACTCCAGCCCGATGAGTGCCATGCTCTGGTGGAGACTTGGCACTAGTTGGGAATCTTTGATGTGTGGCAAGGTGGAGGGAAGGGTGGATGGCACCCGCTGATGTGTGGGACGGTGGGGTCTGTGTGAGGACCTAACTGGGGGGTTGCAGATGAGGCCTCCATGAAGGCCTTGGCTTTCTGGGGAAGGTGAGAATTGCCAGTGTCATGATTTTGTGTGCACGTCTACAGAATTCACAACTGAACCCAGCCAAAGTCCACTTGTCCCCGGAGTTTCACTGTTGAGAGGATTATAGCTGTTAGGAGGTGAATGTGCTATTCTGATTTTCGGAATGCAATCTCATTTTCACAGGGCCTCCGGGATTTGGCTCTGCCTTCAACTGGGGTGAGAGGGCTTAAATCCTCCTTCACCCAAAGTCCTGGAGGAGGCCTCCACACTCTCTGGCTCTCCCACACTCTCTGGCTCTCTGGTGTGTCTTTGATCAGCACACCCCAGGGCTCTGACCTGTTTCTGACCACCTGCTATGTGGATGAAGATACATCTGGGGCCAAGTGAGAAGACCCAGTAGCACCAGGTTTCGCCCCAAAGGAGAGAGGGAGACACGTGAGTGGTTTGGATTCCCTGGTGAAGGATGGCCACGGGAAGCTGGGGACATTGTCTCAGATTACAGAGTAGGACATACGGACGGAATCAATGTCCTTTAGGGAAATGCTGCCACCTGTTACACTGCCTCCCACTTATATTTATATCCCACTGTGCAGTCTTCAAAGTGCGATCGTAGCCCATTTGACCCTCACAGTGTTCTCGTGAAGCAGGCTGAGTGAGGAAGAAGCACGAAATTAAAAACAAGAAAACCAGGATCACATTTTCATTTGTCATGGATGATGTGGGGCATGTGTCCCTGAGCCTTAACGTCTTCTTCTGTCACATGGTCATGACACAGCTTGGAAAACGTTAGGATGATTGTCTCCACCACACAGCAGAGAAAATACAGGCTCAAGAAAGTAAAGAAAGATGTCCAAGGTCACACACACACACACACAAAAACCCAATTCACTTTGTCTCCTAGAAATCTTATTTTAGCTTTCTCTATAAAAATGTATTAACATATGATAAACTATAGCTGTTTTTAATGTCTACATAGATACATAAGCTTTCGACTTCGTGAACTAAGTTAATTTATTCTTACCAGTCAGTTACTATGGCTGCTTGGCATTTTGAGGAGCAACATTTGAGGCTTTTACTGAAAAAAGTTCTAATGACCCATGATACATAGTAATTTGCAATTTTCTTTGATATGAGTTTTAGCAGTGCAGGATAGGCCTTGAAATTCAGAATTGTTCATCATCTAATGCCTAAACATAAGCTACCACTTATTATTACAATTTAACACTTATACTTTATCCAGAAAATTAAATTAAATTAAACATGGGTTTTTGAGAATTCGATGATACATTTGCATATTAGATCATATATCTTGACAACACCAAAATTTACTATATTTAATAGGAACAACAGTTTCAGAAGATTCTTGCATTACATCCAAATAGTAAAACGGAGGGGTCAAAAGCTTATCGTTTTAAAAGGTTTTTACTTAAAGATGGCAATTTAAGTCTAGTTATCTATTTTCAAAAAATGTGCCAAAGCTTTTCAGCATCCTGACAGCAAACCCTGTGGCAGGGCATTTCCTCGGCACCACCGGCCTTCTGGGCTGGATGACTCTTTGTTGTGGGGGCTGCCACGTGCCTCATAGAATGTTTAGCAACACCCCTGGTTTCTACTCAATATATGTCCCCTCCCCCAGTCGTGACAACTGAAAATGTTCCCAGACATTGCCAAATGTCCTCTAAGGGCAAAACAGCCTCTTTCCCCATTAAGAACCCTGGTCCAAGGTGGTTATCCTCCCTGATATATTCTCTCACAATCTATCTGAGCACTGGAGATGGATTCTCCCAACATTCTTCGAAAGCTTCATTGATTTGAGCAATTTTTTTGAGAGTTCACTTGTAGATTTTCCCTCCCACCGCTTTGACATGAAAGACCTACAGGAACACAAGCCTCTGAAGTGGTCTGTAGCAAGTGTGAGTTCATTTTAGTTCACACGGCTGAGAAATCATGCTTGGTATGGATGTTGTGGGGCTTTCTTTACTCTTACTTGGTGGAAAAAAATGTTCCTGCTTTTCACAAAAGGAGTCAAGGAGGCATCAGCAACACCCTTCAGTCTAAGGGGAGGTGACTGGTAAGTTTCAGGTGGCAAGGTGCTCATGGTCTGCACTGTCTTCTAACACCCAACCCCATTTTCACATAAATATCATACTGCCCTTTTCGATCTAGGTATTGTGAATGGGCTCATATAAGTTTCCTTAAAGATATCTTATATGAAAGTACATATTTTTTATAAAGCAAATGGGCAATATTTGTGTAACAACAATCTCCTGACTCATTTGATTGTTAAATCTCCATTTCAGAATGTTGATTTTTACCCCTGTCCCATAAAATCTTACTAGCAGTAGGTTCTTGGAAAGGGGGAAACTGTAATTGACTTGACATTGCTCCTGAGCTGGTTTCTCTACTTTGTGTGAAGCAAGTTTTCTTTCAATAAAATACTTGACACATCACATATAATAAGTCTTAGACTTCTTTCACTCTGAAGTTTGTATTTTTCAATGGTAAAACTAGCCTTCTATCCTTGTCCTGGTAAGTTTTAAAGTTTTTAGCTGTGTGAAGTATTTTTGTTCAGCTGGGACAGTGGGGTTGCTGGGTTTGCCAGTTTCTGCCAGTTGGGCTTTTTGTTTTTTTAATTCATTCGTGTTTTTAAGTCTATTCTAAAAGGCCACTTACAGATATTTTCCCGACTATCTTTCTACTACTCTTTCTTTCACTTTCCACGGCATCTCTGTGTCCCGGGTTCTCTGAGCGCTAGCACTGAATGTTGGCTTTCTGGCTGCAGTGTGGAGACGCAGAGCCTTCCTGCCCTTTCCTCCATGTGTAGAAAACAGTGGTAAAGAAAGGCTTTGCAGGAGGAGTTGGGAGGAGGACAGGAAAAAATATTTGAATCTTGCTCTATAAGTTTTGCAAGCTCACAACAGATGAACCTAAGGAGTTTTGTTTGCTTTGGTTTGGTTTGGGGTTTTTTTAATATTATTGTTCCTTTACCTCAAGTGTTTTTTCATTTCAGTCACAAGACTTCCTTACACCTAAAAAATTGCTTAAAATATTGTCTCATGAAATTAGGGTTGTTGAGGCAGGAATAATTTCATAAAGTTCTATTGGAAGGCAAATGTCAGGACTGATGTAGGAAGACACACCAACGAAGTTGAGGGTGGTCCAAAGTCTGTTACAAGTTGGAAGGCTTTTGTAAGGAAGTTCAGGCAGAAAGAAAGGGGCTCTTCATATTGGAGTTGTCTTTTTTCACTGGAGGGTACAATACAGAGGTTACAATCATTGGACACAGATGACAATATATAGACTAAAATATTTCATGCACAAAACAATCAGTAAAACTTTATGATTCAGAAACAAATCCATATCCTTTTCGATGTCAGGAGGTTACATATTAACCACTACATCAAATTAGCTCAGAAGCTACATTGAAGCCGAACTACATCAACGTTTGGGTGTATGAGCAGATCTGGTTATAGGTTACAGAGGTATCCTTCAATCAGACGTTATCTTATGTGTAGGAAAAGGCAAGGACTATTATTGCTTATCTTTTAAGGAGTAGAGTGACTCAGGCAAGAGAGATGGGAGGCCGTGTGCTCAATCTTGTTTTGTCTTTGAAGCATCTTTCTGGAGAACTGCAGGTCATCACAGCAGGGGCTTTGTGAAAGTATGCTAGCAAGCCGAAATGAGCAAGCAAGGCTTCTTACATTTGCTACATTGTCTCACAATATAACACGTTAGGTAAAGGGTTGGATGTGATCAGTAATTGCAGAGAAATGGAGCCAAGCCCATTTCACTGACTGTGCAGGGGTTGATGTGGATTCTCTGCTAAGACTGCATAACCAATGGAAGCCATGGAGTGTGCCGGGTGTGTCACAGCCTCACTTAGGCACAGCGTTTCCTTGTCTTTGTTCCAGGGAGGATGGTGGATTTTCCAGGCTACAATCTGTCTGGTGCAGTCGCCTCCTTCCTATTCATCCTGCTGACAATGAAGCAGTCAGGTAGGATTCCCTTCTCCCTTTACTGTATAGTCTAATGTCCCAGTGAGCTAGTCTGGGTCCAAAGGTCGAGAACAACATCTAAGAGTGTAAGTCTGGGGCCAAGCCACCTGTATCCAAAAAGGAACTCCTCACTTTTGAGGAGCTCCTCCACTCCCAGGAGCTCCTCCACTCCTAGCTGAGTCACCTTTGGAAAGTTACTTGAGCACCTCATACCTTAGTTCTTTCATCTTTTTAATGAGAATAACAGCAGTAACTACATCTCAGAGGCCAGCACAGGCTTTAGGATTAAATGAGACATTAAAAGCACTTGAATCAGTGGTTGCACCACGTTAAATTATTAATTCACTCTAGTACTTTGGGGTCAAGAAATGCAGCTGCTTCTTATCATAAATTAAGCTGCAATTAAAAAAAATACTTGGAAATAAGAAATTAGAAGAAAGGGACTTTGGAAATCTCACTAGCTGAATTTTGACGTCAAAATGTTGCACCTTGAAAAATAATTATTTAAAAATTCAGTGTCAAAAAAAAAAAATCAGTGTCAGAAGGAGATGTCAGAGCCCTAAGGAAAATGCAGCATGGCGAAGTGGGAAAAAACACGACACAGAGCATCAGAGGGCGCAGGCTCTGCCTCGGCACCGCAGAGCTGGTGTGTCTGCCTCGGTGCCGCAGAGCTGGTGTGTCTGCCTTGGCGCTGCAGAGCTGGTGTGATGTGATGAAGCTGCTGGCTTCTCTGTGCTTGTGCTGCAGCTCCCTACCCTGTAACAGTCAATCTGATGGAATGTCTTCAGTTCTAGCTTCATATTTAGACTTCATCAATGAAGAATACAAGCAGATCTCCACTTAGGCTCTTTAGCCACCTTTTGAGCAGCATCTATTTGATACCCAGCAGCAGCTAAGTAGGGTGAGGTTCTTCCTAGCAGGATTGGATCTGCACAGAGAAAGAGCAAATGGCCCCGGAGCATTTAGAATGAGAAAGAACATATCATACATGACATAAAATGATCAAACATAATAACATACATAACCGTTAAACATCTCTTCAATTTGCAGATAACAAGGAAGAGATCAGACATGTCTTAGAATTTGTTTGGAAGACCCAAAAATCTCTAGACAAACCAGTGTCCTTAATCCAGCACAAAATGTCCTTGTGAAAACTGCATTGTACATAGTCCCAGTAATTGGCCTCCTGCCAACTCCAGACGGGAAAAAAACAAACAAAAAAAAAACAAAAAAAAAAACAGTTTTTATATCTAAGAGAAGAGGAATCCTGAAAGGCTAAAAAAAGCTAATAAATGGATTTATTATCTAAACTTCAGGAAAATAAAATGTTAATAACAAGAATAAGGTTTCCAATTTAAAAAGTCAATTTACATGAGAATAAATGACTCAAGGAATAAATAATTTACTTGAGAATAAAAACAACCCAGGTATGCTGGTATTAATATCTTGAAGATGAAGAAATTAGGACTTCAAATCTCAAAATCTTACCAAGAGTAATAGATTTGCCACCGAATCACATAGCTGGTAGGTGACAGACAGCAACCTCACCCACATTTTTGAACTGCATTTGTTTTCAGTACACAAAATTGACTCTGTAACAAACAGATGTGCAAATCATCATGCTGGATTTCTCTAAAACATTAAACATATATCTCTCCCTCTTCTAGTTGCCTCCATTTTGACAGGCTGGACACCCCAAAGCATGCATATGATTTTCTGATTGGCATTTCCTCGTTCCTCTTTTTCACTTATTTTATAGAAGACTTTAGAGTCATTGGCCCTGCTCATCCTATCCTGGCCGGGGTTGGGGAAGATGCCCTGTTAACCTGCCAGCTACTCCCCAAGAGGACCACAATGCACGTGGAGGTGAGGTGGTACCGCTCAGAGCCCAGCACACCTGTGTTTGTGCACAGGGATGGAGTGGAGGTGACTGAGATGCAGATGGAGGAGTACAGAGGCTGGGTAGAGTGGATAGAGAATGGCATTGCAAAGGGAAATGTGGCACTGAAGATACACAACATCCAGCCCTCCGACAATGGACAATACTGGTGCCATTTCCAGGATGGGAACTACTGTGGAGAAACAAGCTTGCTGCTCAAAGTAGCAGGTGAATATCTGGGGAAAGACACAGGGTCTCAAGAGGCAGAGATATATTAATTTGTGGTAAGCTTTGTGACAGTTGAGGAAATCCTTTTGAATCATCAAGGTAATTCCTAATGCTTAGTCCTCTACCCTGATTGATTTAAAAATAAGTGGTTCTGGAGTCTTCAAGCTTAGTGTTAAAATATTTTCCCAAATTTAATTTGCACAGTTTTGACTGTTCTTGAGGATTATTTGGAATCCATGACATGCAGTCTTTAGCAATTTTGCTGAGACACACATTTGTGCTACCTAAGGCTGGTGCGCAAGAGCAAACCAATTGCTGCATGAATGAGCCCAGCTGACGTCCGGCATCTGTATCTCAGGGCATTGGTTTTTCTCTACCCAATCCCATCTATGCAGAAACTGAGACGTGAAAATGTTCTTTCCTTGTGAAATGCCCTCAGTTAGAAAGCTATCAACAAGACTGAAAAGGCTAAGAATGTCGTGCTTTGGAGATTGTTATATACTAGTGTTCAATGAATTGGGGACTCACAGATGCTTTTGGACACACCCTCTGTGAATGGGAAGGTTCTTCATATTGCTGTTGTATTAGCTAAGCAGGAAGGAGTAGGGAAGAAGGGGACAACTGAAGAATGGATCTGTCTTATGAAAAGTAAACTATCATATGATTCCCTGACAGGGCTAACTTCTCCATGCTCTAAAGAGAAAATCAAGTAAATCCAATTACTAAGGCAAATGGGGAAAATAGTTCTCTGGAGATGTTAACGTCTCCAGCTGATACTGCTTCCTTCTTTACTTCCCTGGGAGGCTGTTTCCTAATACCTTTTTTTTTCTTAACATCCATTACTGTTACTGTGTTCAAGGTGATTCAAAATGGATGGAGGAATACATATATTTCTGACATGGGGGGACAGGGAACGTACTGATGTATTTCAATATCAGGAACATTTACAAATAAGTCACACATTTTCTAAGGGTCCAAGGGAAGGGAGTGGATCTCTCTTTTACCAGCAAGTGATTAAGACAGAATTCCCATTTATGGAAAATATAGTCCCCTTAGTTTGGGTGTGGGAGTTTCACGTTAAATAGAGAAAAAAAATTCATGATTTCATAAACTGTTGTAAACTAGGATTTCTCAAAACCATCTTACCCATTGAATAGAATATTTAGCTACAAATAACGCCTCGTGGAGATTCGCATTTCACATGCTCCCGTTTATCCACTTGCTTCCGAAGATCACAGCCACCAGCAAAAGATGCAGGAAGAACAGGCCCCTGGGGAGTGATTTCTGACTTTGTGTTAAATCTTCAATCAAATTGGAGTTCAAGACATCATCTAAAATACCAGACAATGTGCCCAATACAGATAATTTTAAGATGAAAAAGGCAGAGTTCATGGCACAGAGGAATTAATGAATAAATTACAGCTCATCTCTGTTTGCAGTGCTAGAGGCGTTGCAAAATGTCATGATGTCCCCCTTCTCCGATTCCCCTTTCTGGATCTGGAGAAAAGTACTGGTCAGATGCTAAAATGTAAAGACCCAGACTGGGGAACAAATAAAGTGTATCTGAACTCACATTTGAATGGGGAGACTGAGGTCGACTTTCTGCTCCTCAGACTCCTGAACTCCGGCCACCTCCCTGTGAGCAACGTCACTGGGATCTCAGCCTCTGTGATTTCTGCCTCTGTGGGCTCTGGGTGTCAGAGCTGTGGCTTCCCTCTGCAGGTCTGGGGTCTGCCCCTAGCATCCACATGGAGGGACCTGGGGAGAGTGGAGTCCAGCTTGTGTGCACTGCAAGGGGCTGGTTCCCAGAGCCCCAGGTGTATTGGGAAGACATCCGGGGAGAGAAGCTGCTGGCCGTGTCTGAGCATCGCATCCAAGATAAAGATGGCCTGTTCTATGCGGAAGCCACCCTGGTGGTCAGGAACGCCTCTGCAGAGTCTGTGTCCTGCTTGGTCCACAACCCCGTCCTCACTGAGGAGAAGGGGTCGGTCATCAGCCTCCCAGGTCAGTGCTCTGCCTCTAGGACCCACATGCTCAGATCAGCAGGAGAGGTCCCAGGGACTGCACCATAGCACCTCGTATTTTTATCAAGAGACATTATCTATCATATAGCAATATGTATTGAAAGCCATAAAACATTTATGACTGGAAATATACGCACTACATTTTACTTGAATAGCTGTTATGGCGCCTGCGTTATTTTTGAGTTCTACCTTTCCTTCTTCTGCATTGATTGTTTTTACTCACAAGTATTCATTGCATTGTAAAGAAAATAAAGCTATATTTCTTCAACTGAAATGTTTTCCTATGCTGTCTTGTGCTGATTACTTCTAGAAATCTATCATATGAAGATAATCAGAGATGTAGACAACTATTTGCATAATAGAATATTAATTATGGCCTTATTTATAAATAGCAGCAAAAACAACCAACCCCCCAATACAACAGTACAGTGTGGAATCTTGTCTTACTATACATTATAGCATTAATAAAAAGATATTTTTAAATAATTTTAATGGTTGAAAAAAATCCTCATGATGCACTATTCAATGATAAACATGACATCTACCTATAAATTGACATTTCCAATCACATAAAAGTTACTGGCCTTAAATAACTTATAACTGCACTAAAACTTTCAGGATACCCTCCACATTTGGATATAAGTATACAGTTATTCATATAAATGGATAGATTAAAAAAACTTTAAAGTTAATGTTACATTTTAATTTTAAATGAAGCTGATTGTATATTACATATAATTCGTCTCTCTACTTTGTAATTTAGGTGATACTGTTTATGTCCATATAATTTTGTACTTTCTGTGTATCTATAAAAGGAACATATGTTATTTTCATGCTGATAGCTAAGTATTTATGCTGTAAATATCAGAAGAAACCAACAGAATCATGGGGAGATAGAAGTGACAGCATTTTTGTTGTGCAGAGAAAAGGAAAAAAAGCTGTATCATTGGGTAATCTGTGGGAAAGAATCAGTATTTTTCTGCATTTCATTTTTTTAATGAATTGAGCTTCCCTATATAATGTATAAATTGCTTTCTTTTTTAAAAAATAGTTTCTCTCCTTTCCCTTACACCAAATTCCTTAATATGTTATTCTTGTTCTTTTTCCAGAGAAACTCCAGACTGAGCTGGGTAAGTACGAGGTGCTGGCACACACCTGTGGAGGGAGCCTCTGCCCTCCCCAGCAGAGGGAGGGGAGCTACCACGAGACCATGTGACCCAGAGGAAAAACTGAGGCACGATTTTACCAGGTCCTATGTTCATTAAATACCAGAGGAGACCAGCAAAGTAATGGCCTCATTCAAGGAGGTTGCAGCTGTGTTACCTGACACTTTGGGGGCTCATGGAGATTCCAGTGAGCATCAGATGGACACCTATAGGAAGCATGGCATCATCTCTGTTCTATGTGTTGAGGGGAAAGGGAGCTGCCTCAGAATGTGTGGGGGATGACAGCAGACAGCTGGCCGGGGCCTGGAGGCCCTTTGAAAACATTTCAAGTGTGAACAAGGGCAGCATCATTATGACAACCTGGGTTGCACCCAGCACCTCCCTGCTCAACTCTGCTATGGGGTCCTGCACCTGCTCCTCACCCCAGTACACCCCTAAGCTAATCACTATTGGGAGGGAGCTGTTACTTTCTGAGTGCAACCTGGGATACTGTGAGTGTAGCAATTTTTTTTTTTTTTTTTTTTTTGAGACGGAGTCTTGCTCTGTCGCCCAGGCTGGAGTGCAGTGGCGCGATCTTGGCTCACTGCAAGCTCCGCCTCCCAGGTTCAGGCCATTCTCCTGCCTCAGCCTCCCAAGTAGCTGGGACTACAGGCAACCGCCACCACGCCCGGCTAATTTTTTGTATTTTTAGTAGAGACGAGATTTCACCGTGTTAGCCAGGATGGTCTCGATCTCCTGATCTCGTGATCCCCCCACCTCAGCCTCCCAAAGTGCTGGGATTACAGGCGTGAGCCACCACGCCAGGCATTTTTTTTTTTTTTGAGACGGAGTCTCGCTCTGTTGCCCAAGCTGGAGTGCAATGGCGCCATCTTGGCTCACTGCAACCTCCATCTCCTGGATTCAAGCTATTCTCCTGCCTCAGCCTCCTGAGTAACTGGGACTACAGGCATGCGCCACCACACCCAGCTAATTTTTTTTTTTTTTTTTTTAGTAGAGACGGGGTTTCACCATGTTGGCCAGGATGGTCTCGATCTCCTGACCTCATGATCCGCCGGCCTTGGCCTCCCAAAGGTGCTGGGATTACAGGCATGAGCCACTGCACCCAGCCTAATTTTTGTTTTTTAAATCTCGGAGTTGGACTGAGGGTATTATTTTGCTGCACCTGAGATAAGTGGTTTAAAACATAACCAGCCGATGGCTGAGCCCCTTTGAGTTTCCCCTTTACCTCCTTACTAGCTCCCTCCTTTTTATGGCCTCTTCTCCCAGCCCAAGGCAACCAGCCTGCCTCCCTGCCTAGGTGCATAGAACGTGGATCCCTTATGTGCTCTTTCCATCAATTCCTTGCTCTCCATCAAGTCACCTGCTCCAGGAATGTGTATCCATGTGTGTGCTTTAGGTGAGCTTAAGCACACCTTTCAGCCCACAAAAGAGTTTTTGAGGAAAATCAGGGTAACAAACACAACCCAATCTCTACCAGAGTCTACTATGGCACCTTCAACCCCATTAGGCCATAAACATAAAGGGAAGGGTCCCTGGAAGGCGCAAAGTAACTCCACAATCTGAGGAGAGACACACACCTGTGTATCTTACCCTTCTGAGATCAGGAAGTAAAGCCAGTGTTTGGGGCAGGTTGACACAAGTCTGTCTCTCAAGAAGGTTTTAGGAGAAGAGTCACTCCTCTGAGTTCTCTGAGACCCACTGGAGACCCAGCACACACAATACGACCCCATGTCCTGTTGTTCCTAAGTCATGGTAACCTCCGGGGCCACAATTAACCAACACGGAAAGATGGAGCTTCCCTTTGCTTCCTGTCAGGTGGGAGAGGAGGGCTCTGGGCACGGAAGCTTTGCAGGTGAGCTCTAATGATGGGACACCCAGCTCTCTATGGAAGTCCTAAGACTGAAATCACTGCTTGTAGTCTTACAAATAATGTTTTTCATTTATAAAAATAATAGTTTTTAAAAATATTAATTGTATGCCAGGCACGATGCTGAATATGTTATGGGAATTATTTCATTTTTTCTTACAATAATTATAAAGTTTAATTGCTTTATCCTCATATTACAGCTAAGAAACAATCTTAGAGACATACATGGTTTGCCAAAAATCAGGAAGAAATGGTGATGTTTACCTTCTAATCTACATCTATCTAACTTAACAGTGCAAGTCCTTAATTACTTATGTGTGACTTTGTCAGCTCATTCATCTCTATTTTTCTCATCTTTAAAGTGAACAGGTTGAATTTAATCTCTAATGTAGTGTCCAGTTCTAAGAGATTAGATATAACTTAGCATATTTGAGAAATGAGATAGTGCATTAATTGAATATGCTGATTGAAAGAGGATTATGTGGTATGATGATGAGATTATCAGGTTTCAAGGAATCAGTGTATAATTCAGTGTACTTCACGCTCCAGAAGGGAATTAATTTTTCAGTGGATATTCAGAAGGCATTCAGAACATACAAACAATAACCAAAACAAAACAAAGCAATATATTTCAGCACAAAATTGTCTGGAAGGCTGTGTACAAAACCGTATAGAAAAAGGAGGTTAACTACTGCATGTTCACACTTATAAGGGGGAGCTGATTGGTGAGAACACATGGATGCATGGCAGGGAACAACACACACTGGACACCTGTTGGGGGATGGGGGAGGGAGAGCATCAGGAAGAACAGCTAATGGATGCTGGGCTTAACACCTGGGTGATGGGATGACCTGTGCAGTAAGCCACCATGGCACATGTTTACCTATGTAACAAACCTGCACATCCTGCACATGTACCCCGGAACTTAAAATTGAAAGAAAAAAAAAGTGGGTTAGGCATAGTGGCTCCCAAGGAGCTTGTATTCTAGTAGAACATCAATTATTAACAAACAGGGCTGCATGATTTTTTTAGCACTTTAAACTTTAGTTTTACTTGGATTCTGGACAAAAGGAGTTTTGTCTGTATCTGTAATGCATCAAATTAATTGAATCTCCATACTTACATTTTGCTTCCTTCAGTCTCCATTGAAGTCAATTTTAGCTCTTAATTACCTATGTCAGGCAGGGCAAGCCAGTTTAAGATCTAATATGTGCACAGGTCACACACGGACAGGGAATAAAATCCTCATATGGATAAAGGAGATGAGGAAACAGTCTGTTTTATTAAGTAATTTACCGTAAGCCATGTGGATGCAGAAACAGCCCCAAACTAATCCCTAGTCCATTTTTTCTGATTCTTGTCTTCAGACTTTAATAGATACATAGGAGAGGAAAATAATATTGTTTTAGGTAAAATTACAGGACAAAGCAAACAAAATGCTGGAAATAACTGGGAGTCAACTGTTACCTGGAATGGAAGGTAATAATCTGAAAATTCAAATTGTGTTGACAGGGACTTTCCTCTCTACAAAGGTAGCTGGCAGTTTTCGGCCAATGACATAATGGGATGTTAACGCCTTTGGCCAGTGACTCTATGCAGAGAACCAACAATTTTATGCTTGTGTTTCTATTATAAATGATCACACCTTATGCAAAACCATTCTTATCATTTAACAGAAAAGGACGACACTTAATTTAGAATAGAGAAAAAATGGCACGGGCAGGGCCTGATGAGAATGGAAAATGTAATATAGCTTGGGCCCAGGAAAGCCCTCAGAGAACATCTTTCCCCACTTTGCACAGTGGGAGAATTAGACCCCTTTTTTACATTCATCATTGTTTCACAATTTGTACTTTGCCGACTTCCCCAATTATTGATCTTAAAATGTTAATTTTAATTTTCAAAATTATTTGAGGACATTCAACTGGTGTGTGTCTATAACTCCACCTATGTGGAGCATTGGGGAAATAAAATATAGCGGCTGGACCAGACTTACAAGGTACTATAAAGTCCACCTAGAGGAAAGCTTCTTCAAATATCATTACCAAAAGTCCACATGAGACACGTTTTTAAACCCCTCCCTATTACCACGTCAGAGGGTGGGGATGGCTCCAACGCCTTCAAGTCTCACAGGTCTGTGCACCTCTGCTCACGCTGCAGGGTCTTCCAGGCACTTAATGCAAACTATTTTGTTCAACTCTGAAACATTATGATTTTGGTAGTTGTATAGCAAATTTACAGTTTAAGAAACTGAGGCATTAAGAAGTAGTTTAAGACAGATTAAGAAGTAGTTTAAAATCATACAGAATTGAAGTGTTAGAAGAAAAACTTTAGACAGACTAAATTTAGCAGAGTCTAACTGAGAAAAGGATGACTCATAAACAAGCCATCCCTCAGAATCAGAACGGTTTCAGAGAATTCAAAGCAGCAATTTGGTCAGACAGCATTTATGGACAGAAAATGGAAATGAGGTACAGAAAACAGAAGTGAGGTACAGAGACAGCTCTATTGGTTGCAGCCTGGCGTTTGCCGATTTGAACAGGGTTTCAACAGTTGGCTGCCTGCAACTAACAGAAGTGCAGCAGCTGCTACTCAGCTATTTATTACAAAAGTGTACTCCTAAGTTAGCCTTAGCTCCTAAGTTAGGCTTATTCATAAAATAATTTTGCAATTAAAACTCTCAGAATAAAATGAGCAATTTATAAATTTGGCCCCAGGATGCCTCTGTACCTGAGTGCTTATGTAACAAACTGCAACCTAAGTTAGGCTTTCAGTAGTTGACGTACTAAGTTAAATTGCAGTTTGTTACATAAGGAGTCAGGTACAGAGGCATCTGGGGCCAAATTTATAAACTGTTCACTTTATTCTGGGTGTTTTTTGTTTGTTTGTTTTTAAAGTCTCGCTTTGTCACCCAGCCTGGAGTGCAGTGGCATGATCTCAGCTCACTGCAACCTCTGCCTCCCGGGTTCGAGCAATTCTTCCACCTCAGCCTCCTGAGTAGCTGGGATTACAGGCACCCACCATCATGCCCGACTAATTTTTGTATTTCTGTAGAGACGGGGTTTCACCATGTTGGCCAGGCTGGTCTTGAACTCCTGACCTCTGGTGATCCACCCGCTTCGGCCTCCCAAAGTGCTGGGATTATAGACTTGAGCCACCACACCCAGCCTATCTGGGAGTTTTAATTGCAAAATTATTTTATTATTGGTCTGTAAACTGAAAAAAATACAGGTAGAAGCAGGTAGGGATTCAATTACTGTTTTACTCAGACTGACACACATCATGGAATGATTCCTCCTTAAAGAAGAGCAACCTCTATTCTGAGTCCATGAAACCCCCACCTCACCTAAGGATGACCCTGAGCCTCACAGCAACCCTGGGATGCTCATGGTTTCTAAACTCCAATGGAGCTGTTCTTAGAGATGACATTATTGGTTCCATTTTGATTCTTTCATTGTGTTTTGTCCACTCTATTTAACAGCTTCTTTAAAAGTGAATGGACCTTCCCAGCCCATCCTCGTCAGAGTGGGAGAAGATATACAGCTAACCTGTTACCTGTCCCCCAAGGCGAATGCACAGAGCATGGAGGTGAGGTGGGACCGATCCCACCGTTACCCTGCTGTGCATGTGTATATGGATGGGGACCATGTGGCTGGAGAGCAGATGGCAGAGTACAGAGGGAGGACTGTACTGGTGAGTGACGCCATTGACGAGGGCAGACTGACCCTGCAGATACTCAGTGCCAGACCTTCGGACGACGGGCAGTACCGCTGCCTTTTTGAAAAAGATGATGTCTACCAGGAGGCCAGTTTGGATCTGAAGGTGGTAAGTAAGAATTCTAGATAGATATTTTGTATTCAATACCTGCTCCTGCCACTTTAATATGCTAGTTCCTGGACAATTTCTCTGACATTTGAAATTTTCTTAATGCTTATTCATCATCAAATTTATATCAAATCCTCCAGTGTGTGAAACTGTCATAGTTACTTAAAATCCACAAACTCAAATGGATGAAATTTAATTATTTGGGCATATAACTTGTATCTTTTCCAGTATCTTCAAAAATTGACCATATCTTTAAGGAAATCTGAGTATCTTACTACATATTTTACAAAAGGCTCATTGTTTCACAGTGTGTTATTAGAATTCTGAGAAATGCAATAAAATTCTAGAAACTGTAATCATCTGAAGACTAAACTGGATCCACTGTGTAAACCAAAATTATAAATATTGACAGTTTTGGCAGGGACAGGGGAGAAAAGATGAAATCACTCCCTGCAGCATCATTTCCCACTGTCCGTGTGTGTGAGAATTGAAACGTCCAAGGTTAGCAGATGCCATTGAGTACATATAGGCCCAAGTCTTGGATATGCTACGTGTTTCTCCCACGGATTTTGATTCTAAATTAATAAACACGTTTAGCCATGGGAGCGCATGTTGAGAAGTTTCATGAGCCTCGTATTTTCTGCCATTGGACGTAGATATTTATAAGGTTTCGATTTTTGAGAATATCCTCCTACTCCGTATGTTAATCCTGTCCATGTGACCCATGCCCTGGCCGAAGTTATTTTGTTCTCAGGGACAGAATAAATGTTGGATTTGAACATTTACCTTACCTCTTAATCATCCCAGAATGATTTAGGAATACAAAGAATAAAAATAAGCAAACAAACAAAATAAGAAAATGCTCCAGCCAGCCTCATCCCTAAGTGGAGTGCAATCCCCCTTAAGCTTTTCTCCCTTCCCCAAGCCCTCCACATCCCCTTCTTTCCTCCCAGTGAAATTGCTGCCCACTCATCCACTTGAAAGGACCCCAGGCTTTGGTTGCTTTCTCTGCCCCAGGTCTGGGTTCTTCCCCACTGATCACTGTGGAGGGGCAAGAAGATGGAGAAATGCAGCCGATGTGCTCTTCAGATGGGTGGTTCCCACAGCCCCACGTGCCATGGAGGGACATGGAAGGAAAGACGATACCATCATCTTCCCAGGCCCTGACTCAAGGCAGCCACGGGCTGTTCCACGTGCAGACATTGCTAAGGGTCACAAACATCTCCGCTGTGGACGTCACTTGTTCCATCAGCATCCCCTTTTTGGGCGAGGAGAAAATCGCAACTTTTTCTCTCTCAGGTTGGTGATTCCTTATGTTCCTTCAGGTTTGGAAAATAAATATGAAGACCAACTCAGACTTACTCATTGTATTACTCTTCTTCCTTTGTGATTTTTATTTGCTGCTCTCTGACGAGGTCTCCTGCTATCCTCTGCAAAGCTGGTTTTCAGGACACCCAGGGATTCTACTCCTCTGAGTTTCTCTCTGACACCCTCAACTAGCGCCCTGCAATTATTTTTATCATTGGATACACACTAAATTCTCGTAATTGACCCTGTTTTCACTCTCTCTCTTTAAATTCTCTTCTTCTGATGTGAAAACAATTAAATTACAGAACTTTGTGTTTTCCCCCTCATGGAGGATTTTCTTCTGGATTAGAAACTGATTTTTATTAATACCATCTTCATGGTTGCGGCTTGAGTAATTTTATCCTTTCCTCCTCAAGTCATTCCAGTGATTGTGTGATATAGTTGGAAGAGAGAAGGGAAAACTTGTCTGTGCATGTGTACATTTCTGAGACGAGCAAACATGAAATACTTGCATTCTCTCCTCTGCATCTCCAGAGCAGGGAGGAGCAGGCCAACTGCTTCCTGGGAGGCCAAATTCTCTCCCTTCTCTCCAGCCTAGAAGCTGCTCAGATGAAAAGTACAATCTTAATATTGTCCCAGTTTCACAGTTTCAAGGGATTCTTGGGTTTCCATTTTAGAGTCCAGGATGACGTTTTTGTGGAAAACACTGCTTGTTTGGGGATTGCTTCTTGCTGTGGCTGTAGGCCTGCCCAGGAAGAGGAGCTGAAAAGAGGTAAGTCAGGGAAACAGAAACAGCGGAGCACACTGCAGTGGGAACCGTACTGCGTACTTCCCCGAGCCTCCCTTTTCACAAGTCACCTATGGGAGGCAGTCAGTGAATATCCAGTAACTAAGGAAACATGAGAAACAGGAAAGCCCAGGGCTTATCATGCAATCCAGGCTCAGTGATGCATGAGGTCAGTGTTTCCACTTGTAATAGAAGCAAAATGATTAAAAGATAATGATTTGATTTCCTGCTGCCCATTCCCCAGTGATCTGGTTAGGGAAGAAGAAGAAAAAAGTGAGTAGTACAGCCATCCTTGTTTTCAAGGCTGAGAGCTGAGGTTCACTGAGATTTGTTGGCGTGAACAATTTCCTATGATCTTTAAAAATGTGGTGACCTACTTGTTGGTGATTTCTGTGTTGCTGGTGACTTCTCATGTGTTAGGGAGGCTGTTTTGTGTGCTCTAGAAAGTGCTTCCACTTTAAATTTCTTATGTCCGTGAAACACTTGTCTTCCTGTTTGGCTGTTAATAGAATGAAATTATATTGATTAATTATCAGAATGGATTCTCTTTCTTTACAGTGAATGTGACATTGGCTTCAAACACAGCTCACCTGAGACTGATTTCTTCTGAACAGAACAAGCGTGTGATCCATGGACATTCAGGCAGCCAGATATCCCACAGAGATCTGACTATCTGCTCTATGGGCCAGAGGGAACTCCTGTCAGGGAGCTGGTACTGAGAGGTGGAGACTGGGAACAGGGCGCGATGGGTCCCGGAGGTTGCCAAGCACATGTTGCAAAGAAAGAGTCATCTCTGTGTCACCTGACAGTGAGTTTTAGGCAATGGATTGCAAAAGAAATGAGTTCTGGGCCATCCCCTCTCTTCCAAGCCCCATCCCCTTGAAGGTGGCCCCTGAACAAGTCAGAATCCCCCTGACCGTGCCTCTGAATACCTCTCCTCTTATAACATGATTGGCAAGTGCCCTATCTACACCTTCCCCAAAACTTCCTTCTCTGGGACTCTGCACCCCGCTTCATTCTTTGGTTCCCTAATGTAGGTTCTCTGGACATTTTTTCTGTACCCACAAGAACATCTCCAACGTATCAGGAAAATAACAATCTGGGATTCTGGAAACCAGAATGATATTCTGAGTCCTGATCATTTCTCATTTCTCTAACTGCTTGAAGGGGGCTGCCATGATCATTGAAGTACTAACTCAAGGTGTTTTAATTCTACTCAGGAAAATCTGCTGGAGACTGATCTTTTCAGAGACCTATCCTGTTCCAGGTTCTCTGAGATCCGGCCTATCAATCACAATCTGACATCTGATAATCAAGGACCCTTAGAAAATCCCATGGGAAATACAATTTAGCCTACAGGAAGAAATGAAAGGAATAATCAAGGATTTGGTCAGTTTCTTTTTTTTTTTTTTTTCTTTTCTTTTTTTTTTTTTTTTTTTTTTTCCTGAGACAAAGTCTCACTCTGTCACCCAGGCTGGAGTGCAGTGGCATGATCTCAGCTGACTGCAACCTCTGCCTCCCGGGTTCAAGCAATTCTCTTGCCTCAGTCTCATGAGTAGCTGGGATTACAGGCATGTGCCACCATGCCCAGCCTATTTTTGTATTTTTAGTAGAGATGGGGTTTCACTTTGTTGGCCAGGCTGGTCTCAAACTTCTGGCCTCAAATGATCCACTCGCCTCGGCCTCCCAAAGTGCTGGAATTACAGGCATGAGCCACCACACCTGGCCTGATCAGTTTATTTAAGATGGTGACAATTAATTGTCCACATAGGTGGAACTGAGAAAATAAAAAATATATATATACAGTTAAAAAAAAGTGAAAGAAAATACAGCTGCATAAGGGGGAGAAAAATCTGATCACTAAAATATAATCTTGAAAATCTTATGAAGTGTTGTAAAATCCCTCCTCCAGACTTTTTGAGAAAGTTGATACAGGAAATTGAGTCAGGAAAAAAATTTTAGACTTTCCGATCCAAGCGAAAAATTATGTATCATCTATACGAACATGTCAATTTTATTGTTAGAGCAAAATAAAGTGCACAATTTAAAATTAATAATTATAAAATAAACAAATATAAGCAGTACATGTAACACAGTAAAAATATTTTAAAGTTATAATGAGTTCAAGAAGATAAACTATATGTGGAAGACAGAAGAATGTCAACAAGACTTTTGGAAAGAATGTTATGAAGTGAGAAGACGAGGACCTGCTAGTGACGCTCTGCTGCTCTCCAGGATGGCAGACGTCAGAGGCATCGCGGTCCCATGCGGATCACTCATGAACAGCACTCTGAACTTGCTCTTCTGGGCCATCATTTTTTTTTCTATTTTTAAACTCATAAATTTAAACACATAAATGTTAGAAACTACACATTATTCTTCCACAAATGTTTACACATTAATTTTAATAAACATTTTTTTCAATTGTGGTAAAATACATAACATAAAATAAAACCCTTTAACCATTTTAAAGTGTACAGTTCTGTGGTATTGTATATGTGACATTGCTGTGTGACCATCATCATCACTTTCTAGTTCCAGAATATTTTCATCGCCCTAAACGAAACTTCATACCCATTAAGCAGTTACTACCCATTTTTCACCCCCTACTCCCCAGGTAATCTACTTTCTGTCCCTATGAACTTTTCTATTCTGAATATTTTATATAAATGGAACCATAAACTATCTGTGTATGTGTATGTGTATGTGGCTTCTTTCCCTTAGCCTAATATTTTTAGAGTTCTTCCATGTCATAGCATGTATCAGTGCTTCTTTCCTTTTTAAAAAAAAAATTAACAGACATTATTTTTAAGAACAGTTTTAGATTTATAACAAAATAAAATGGAAAATCCAGAGAGCTCCTAGATCCCTCCTCTCTCCCCCCTATTTCTGCTATTATTAACATCTTACATTAGTGTGGCACATTTGTTACAACCCATGAAAGAATAGTGACACATTATTTTCAACTAAAGTCCACAGTTTTACATTAGGTTCACCTTTTGTTTATATAATCTCTGGAGTTTAACAAATGATTTTTACATTTACATTGATCTATCTTTATATTTATGAAGACTTAAATTTATTAGTAAATATACTAGGTTTACCTGAAAATATTTTAACACTATTTTGATTTAATGTAATTAAAAATAATTTATTGCACAACATCTAAAGGTTATCTATTATTTTTCACTTACTTTTGAGTCTTCCTTCCTAGTGAATGTAGCTCTTTGCTTGTTAGTCTGTGCTTGTGAAGGCCCTATGAATACATATATTCACTTTCCAGGGAGAAAGTCTCAAGAAAATTGGTTTTATCAGTCACATTCTCTCACTGTATATTAGAAAACATACTTTCCTATAGCTTCCCAAATTGGTGATTAATGTACTTTCTGAGTTCCAGTTCCAGTTAGAAAAGCCACAGGAAGGAGAGGGGTTGGTGGCGTTGAGGATGATGCCCCAGTCACTGGAAGTCCCTGTGGCTGTTGGGTGGGTAATCGGGT
This sequence comes from Homo sapiens, assembly GCF_000001405.40. Taxonomy (NCBI): domain Eukaryota; kingdom Metazoa; phylum Chordata; class Mammalia; order Primates; family Hominidae; genus Homo; species Homo sapiens. The sequence continues at coordinate 3,631,541 of NT_167245.2, read as the reverse complement.
TGGTGCCTCAGGATACAGTTCCCTCCCCTCCTGGTGTGTAGACAGCTGGGTGTAGTCATTAAAGTGGGGCCACTCTCAGAATAAATGTGCAGATTGGCTGGATCTCAGTTTCAGGGAGAGGACAGGAGGAAGCCACAGAGACTGAATTGTTAACTCCCTGACATTTTCCTCCTTTGTCAGTACAATTTAACTTCCATGAGGACAGTGATTTTTTTCCTTCTTGTCTAGCCCCACAACCTGTAAAAATGACATACATTGATTATCAATAAACATTTGTAAAATGCATGAATTGTCTCATAAAGTGATATTTATTGAATATCTTACCTGTTGAATGTACTATGCTAAGGCCTAGAGATACAATCCTTAATAAGACATAATTCCTGCCCTCAGGTCTTTCTTTTTTGCAGTGGAGTCACTCTGTTTTTGGAATGTCTTATTATACCTTCATAAACTTTACTAAAAATGGGAGTGCCAGAGTAGTCCAGCAATAAAGAATTAATTGATGTAGCCAGGTGGTGAATTCACTTTTCCAGAAAGGATAGGCTACTTGGAGACCCTGCACTACTTATTGATTTACTCAAAGCTACAAATGAAAATAAGATGGACACTGTTATCCCTGACAGGTCTAAAGCTCTGAGTCCAATCAACCATCCACCTTCACGTTTTCTACCATGTCCACCTGCAGCCACTGCTCCCCAATCTCTAAGCTTAGAAGGACAAACACCCATTAAAATGAGTAAAGAAGTGACAAGTTTAAGAATCTTGTTGTAGAAAAAATATGAATTTAGACTCTGAAAAAGAGATAGTAAAAACTCCTCTTGAACCTCATGCTGAATGTCCTAAGTGTATAAAAAAGTAAAATGTCTAAGGCTGAACCTGTTACATTTCGTGTTCTATACCACAGTTCCACCCCATTTGTTCCTGTTTTGTTGTTACCCCCATGTTTAGGGCTCGCATGTCCAGAAATCCCTTCTCATCCACCATGTCCATTTGATTATAACTATTAATATTTTATCACCATTTATTTACCTCTGTCCTGCCTTGATTATTTCTTGATGAAATATGTAAGCCTCCCTTTAGGGTCAGTGAAATTAGGACTAGGCTCTGGCTTGATTCTTCCTGGCTTCGAATACTGTCTTTGCCACTTAGTGTGTGACGTGAAATTTCACCAAGGAGATACATCTACAGGACAGATTGTTAGAGGCACTTGTGGTTTACAGATCTGCAAATACTGTAGAAGAAAAACTAAGGGGATCTCTTCCATCATCAGGAAGAAAGGGTTCATTTAACAGAAGAAGCTCGGCCAGGTGCGGTGGCTCACGCCTGTAATCCCAACACTTTCTGAGGACAAGGCGGGTGGATCACAAGGTAAAGAGATGGAGACCATCTGGGCCAACACGGTGAAACCCTCTCTCTTATACTAAAAATACAAAAATTGTGGTTTCCAGGTTCATCCATGTCCCTACAAAGGATATGAACTCATCCTTTTTTATGGCTGCGTGGGAATTGAACAATGAGAACACCTGGACACAGGGCGGGGAACATCACACACCAGGGTCTGTCGTGGGGTGGGAGGAGCGGGGAGGGATAGCATTAGGAGAAATACCTAATTTAAATGATGAGTTGATGGGTGCAGCAAACCAACATGGCACATGTATACATGTGTAACAAACCTGCACGTTGTGCACATGTACCCTAGAACTTAAAGTATTAAAAAAAATACAAAAATTAGCTGGGCGTGGTGGTACATGCCTATAGTCCCAGCTACTCAGGAGGCTGAGGCAGGAGAATCGCTTGAACCTGGGAGGTGCAGGTTACAGTGAGCAGAGATGGTGCCACAGCACTCCAGCCTGGTGACAGAGCGAGACTCCGTCAAAGAAAAAACAAACAAACAAACAAAAATACACAAACAAACAAAAAGCAGGAGAAGCTCATATTCTATATCCTTGAAGACAACTTGATGATAAACAGCTGGAGAAGTCTTACATGCAGCAAGGACAAGGGAAACCCTCAACAGTGGGCAGAACAGGTCAGGAAGAAAAAGAATGTTAATGTTAGCAATGACTCTTGGTACAGATGTTTCTTTATTTCTACTTTACTGCTTTCTCTCCTAAAGTATAAACTGCAACATTGACTCCTCTTTCATTCACATTCTCACATAGGACACAATTCTGGACTTGCTGACCAGTGAGAACTTATTAAAGAAAAGGGCTCTTTCCTTCCAGAAGGCTTGGGCTCCTCCTCCAATTATTTACAATTATTCATGAGCCTTCTCCGTCCCTTGTCAAAGTCCAAGATTAGCAGTTGATTGTACACTAGAGCCTGAAGAGCAAACACGCTGAGCTATTAAAGGACTTGGACAGATTCCTATGCATCTCCAACAGTGGTAATGGAAGTGAGAATTCACTCTACTGCAATACTTCCCTTCAAACGCCTCCCCTCCTCCATATTTGATAACAAAAATAGTAAGAAGAGATTTCCCTGTAAATGTAGCTTTAAAATTATATACTTCAACACACACTCAGCATGAAAACAGATGAGAAATCCATGAACTTGTTTGGAGTTTTCTTGTGAGAAATAGTTGCTGCCCACAAAGAGACTGTATTTCCCCAATAGCAGCACCGGAGGAAATCTCCCTGGACATTTTCCAGTTCTCTCACTTCACTTTCTGCCTCTTCCTCTTTGACAGAAAGTGAAATCACACCTAGTGAAACTGACCTACTCACCATCCAAGGACAGCTTTCCTGGTGAATGTACCTAGAAGATGCTCCAGTGGAGACAGCAGAGGTGCCAACACTTCGCTGCTTATTATGCTAATAGAACATTAGCTTCCTGGGCAACATCTCTATCACAACTCGTTAAAGAAGTTACAGGGGTAACTGGAAAAGAATCAGGACAATTTTCATGATGATCTAAGCAGAAGGTCACAGATGTGCCAGCACTCTGAAGGCTAGAATAAGGATGGAAAATCCCACAGAAGGTGATTCCAGTAAGAGAATAGATGTGCGACTAATCGACCTCGTTGTGAAAAGACACGTCTCCAGCCTTGCTGTCCTGGAAACCTTCTAGGGGGACAGGGAGGCTCCTGACAGAGTCTCTGGGCAGGAAGTGAGAGCCATGACCCTTCCTTCTTCACATGTCACCATGCAGAAATTCTTCTCTGGACTTTCTACAAACCACCACTCTCTCTTCATTGTGCTGAACAAACACCCAGAGCTCATCTCGTTCCTGGTCCAACTTCTGTCCCCATTATTTACTTCTACCTCCCAGTAATGTCTGTCTCCCCTGTGGTAAAGTAATGTCTCCCCTGTGGTAAACCCAGAACACTGAAGATGGTTTTGGATTCCCCTTGTCCTTGGTGTGTGGGGGCATCCCAGTTCGGGGAACATTCTCCGTTGAAGAAGTGTATCTTCTACCCTCAGATCGGATGAGGTTGGGATGAGCTGCATCTGGATCCAGAGAAACAGCCACTGCATGTATAGTTGGAAAAAAAAAAAAAAAAAAAGGAGGAAAGCTGCAAATACTGGGAAGGCAGAATGGAGAAAAACAAGAGGGAGAAAACTGGAAGGTTAGGTAAAACTGTGTTCCGTCCTAGGAGATACACGATGTGTAAGTCCTAGAAGGCTAGGGTTGGGCAAGATCTTCAGTAACCATCTATTCCAGCCAGGCTAGGACTGTCTAGCCAGGATGGCTGTCACACCTGAAAGTGTTCCAGGGTAAGGTTTTCAGGATGGGGTCCTGCCTATTCTTCAAACGCCTGTTACGTTATTGCTTGTTCTTAAAATTAAGTCCTATAGTATTTCCAGTCATGGTGTGTCCACTTTCATTTAAGCCTCTTCATTTTCATTTTCTGTGGGTTTATGTAATAACTGGGCCATCCACTTCTCATACACCTTTATTTCTAGTGATTGAAATCCCAGGCCTTGTAGTCAAAAAGATCTGAATCTTGATAATTGCTCTTTCTTTAGTAGCTCTGATCTTGGTGACGTTACCTTGCTTCTTTCAGGCACACCTAACTCTCATAATAATGCAAATAATTATGGCATTCAGCACAGGACTATTGTGAGAAATAAATGAGATAGCGTATAGGGAACTTAATACTATGACTTCTCTGTGATGAACACTTGGTTCATTTTAGCTTCCAATATTTATAGTAACACTAATAGCAGAGGTGATAGTAGCAATAGTACTAATACTGGTAGTAACTAATCTTCTTTTCAAACCAAACATCCTCAGTAATTAAAATTTTTCTCATAAGAATTTGTATTTGTAAATTAGACCTCTCCCTCTCCTCTCCCTCTCCCTCTCCCTCTCCCCCTCCCCCTCCCCCTCCCCCTCTCCCTCTCTTCCCTCTCCCTCTCCCCTTTCCACAGTCTCCCTCTGGACTGTGCTGCTGCCATCTCGGCTCACTGCAACCTCCCTGCCTGATTCTCCTGCCTCAGCCTGCCCAGTGCCTGCCATTGCAGGCGCGCGCCGCCACGCCTGACGGGTTTTCGTATTTTTTTGGTGGAGACGGAGTTTCGCTGTGTTGGCCGGGCTGGTCTCCAGCTCCTAACCGCGAGTGATCCGCCAGCCTCGGCCTCCCGAGGTGCCGGGATTGCAGACGGAGTCTCGTTAACTCAGTGCTCAATGGTGCCCAGGCTGGAGTGCAGTGGCGTGATCTCGGCTGGCTACAACCTCCACCTCCCAGCCGCCTGCCTTGGCCCCCCAAAGTGCCGAGATTGCAGCCTCTGCCCGGCCGCTACCCCGTCTGGGAAGTGAGGTGCGTCTCTGCCTGGCCGCCCATCGTCTGGGATGTGAGGAGCCCCTCTGCCTGGCTGCCCAGTCTGGAAAATGAGGAGCGTCTCTGCCCGGCCGCCATCCCACCTAGGAAGTGAGGAGCGCCTCTTCCCGGCCACCATCCCATCTAGGAAGTGAGGAGCGTCTCTGCCCGGCCGCCCATCGTCTGAGATGTGGGGAGCGCCTCTGCCCCGCCGCCCCGTCTGGGAGGTGAGGAGCGTCTCTGCCCGGCCGCCCCATCTGAGAAGTGAGGAACCCCTCCGCCCGGCTGCCACCCCGTCTGGGAAGTGAGGAGCGTCTCCGCCCGGCAGCCACCCCATCCGGAAGGGAGGTGGGGGGGTCAGCCCCCTCCCGGCCAGCCACCCCGTCCGGGAGGTGAGGGGCGCCTCTGCCCGGCCGCCCCTACTGGGAAGTGAGGAGCCCCTCTGCCCGGCCAGCCGCCCCGTCCGGGAGGGAGGTGGGGGGGTCAGCCCCCCGCCCGGCCAGCCGCCCCGTCCGGGAGGGAGGTGGGGGAGTCAGCCCCCCGCCTGGCCAGCCGCTCAGTCCGGGAGGGAGGTGGGGGGGTCAGCCCCCCGCCAGGCGAGACGCCCCGTCCGGGAGGGAGGTGGGGGGTCAGCCCCCCGCCCGGCCAGCCGCCCCGTCCAGGAGGGAGGTGGGGGGGTCAGCCCCCCGCCCGGCCAGCCACCCGGTCCGGGAGCTGAGGGGCGCCTCTGCCTGGCCGCCCCTACTGGGAAGTGAGGAGCCCCTCTGCCCGGCCAGCCGCCCCGTCCGGGAGGGAGGTGGGGGGGTCAGTCCCCCGCCCGGCCAGCTGCCCCATCCGGGAGGGAGGTGGGGGGTCAGCCCCCCGCCCGGCCAGCCGCGCCGTCCGGGAGGTGAGGGGCGCCTCTGCCCGGTCGCCCCTACTGGGAAGTGAGGAGCCCCTCTGCCCGGCCACCACCCCGTCTGGGAGGTGTACCCAACAGCTCATTGAGAACGGGCCATGATGACAATGGCGGTTTTGTGGAATAGAAAGAGGGGAAAGGTGGGGAAAAGATTGAGAAATCGGATGGTTGCCGCGTCTGTGTAGAAAGAAGTAGACATGGGAGACTTTTCATTTTGTTCTGTACTAAGAAAAATTCTGCCTTGGGATCCTGTTGATCTGTGACCTTACCCCCAACCCTGTGCTCTCTGAGACATGTGCTGTGTCCACTCAGGGTTGAATGGATTAAGGGCGGTGCAAGATGTGCTTTGTTAAACAGATGCTTGAAGGCAGCATGCTCGTTAAGAGTCATCGCCACTCCCTAATCTCAAGTACCCAGGGACACAAACACTGCGGAAGGCCGCAGGGTCCTCTGCCTAGGAAAACCAGAGACCTTTGTTCACTTGTTTATCTGCTGACCTTCCCTCCACTATTGTCCTGTGACCCTGCCAAATCCCCCTCTGCGAGAAACACCCAAGAATGATCAATTAAAAAAAAAAAGAAAAAGAAACTGCCTCTGTTAGGATCAAAGGTTGAGAAAGTAAGGAGAATACAGAGCTTCCTTCCATAACGGTAGGAAGGCACCAAATTTGAACAGAGTAAGGCTCCTAGTGCCACTGCCTAAAAGGATTGAGATGAGTAGCATAGGTAAGTTCTGCTCCAGGCTTCAGATCACAATTCTAGTAACATAGCACAGTGAGAACATTTTTATTTTTTCTGGACAAGTTTTGCCTCCCCATCGACAGGTTACATAAAGGAAACCCAATTTTTCATTCATCAGCAAAGACTTCCAGGAAAAGGGAGGAAAATTTCCTGTTCTCTCTTAAATGTTGTCAAAAGATTTAAAGCTCTTCATCCTTTTGATTCTCTTTACTTCAGATTCATGAGATAGAGCACACTATGCACAGGGCCAAGGCATCTGAACTAAGAGATGACAAGAAAGAGGGGTACGGCAGAAATAAGCAATAGCCCTGCCAGTACACAGTGTCTTAAGCTCCTACTTCTTGATTTTTTTCTTTTCCATTATTGACATCTGATTGATGTTAGGTAAACAGGTAGAACAAGGGGAATTGGCATGTGTGAGGGCAAAAATCTCACATGGAAATCACTAGATCTCTATAATGGGACAAGTGTCTATGAATTAGCAATGAAACCATAAGTTAGGATAATGTCTTGATGAGAAATGTTCTAGAAATAGCAACCAGATTCCGGTATCAGAAGGGATGGGGATTCATGGTGAGGGTCCAGGCAGGCATTTCTGTGTTTCAAATATTTAATACAATTGAACTGAGAGAAAGTCATGTATCAAGGGCAAAGCTGCTGCATTCAAAGAAGAACTACTAGGATTCAGCTTAGGCTTGCATTTTGGGAACCACTGTAGTAAGTGAGTAATCATAATCCAGAGAGAAGCCACACTTATGACAGATTCTTAGTGAATTAATTATTTATTACTGGTAACAAATTACCTGGAAACTTAGTGGCTTAAAACAACAATTGCATATTATCTTACAGGTCAGGAATTTTGGAGCAGCTTAGCTGGGTAGCTCTGGCTCAGTCTCTCATAGGTTGCAGTGAAGCCATTGGCTGGGGCTGCAGCCATCTGAATCCTTGACTGGGGTTGGGGGTCTCTTTACAAGAAGGCTCATTACATGGCTGTTGACTGAAGGCTTCAGTTCCTCACCAATAGGCCTCTCCACCGAGCCACCTGAGTGTCTTTAAGATTTGGCAGCTGACTTCCCCCAGAACAGATGATGAGAGAGAGAGAAGAGGGGAGGGAAGTGGGGGAGAAGAAGGAAGACTTTAATGTTTTCATGACCTAATATAGGAAGTAACATACCATAATTTCTGCTGTTGTCAACTGGTCATACAGACCACTCCTGCTATAGTGTGAGGGACTATGCAAGAGTGTGATTGTCAGTAGAGAGAATGGTGCAGGGTTTTGATACATGGTCTTTAATTTGGTTGAATCGATCATTCACAGAGGACAGTGTTTTTTGTTTGTTTAATCCTGCCTACCTATCCCCTCACCTTTATTCTGTTTCTAGATAGAGGGAGGCTGGTGTGGTGACTCAAGCCTGTAATCCCAACAGCCGAGCACTTTCGAAGGCCAAGATGGGAGGGTAGCTTAAGGACAGGAATTTGAGAACAGCCTGGGCAACATAGTGAGGCCCCATTTCTACACACATCAAAAAATTAGCTGAGTTTGGTGGCACATGCCTGTAGTCCCAGCTACTCAGGAGGCTGAAGCAGGAGGACAAGGATTGCTTGAGCCTGGGAGATAGAGGCTGCAGTTAGCCATGTCTGTACCACTGCACTCCAGCCTGGGTGACAGAGAGAGACCCTGTCTCTCTCTCTAAAAAAACAAAAAGAGAGATACATGGATTGGCATTCTTTTCTGGAGAGATAGCAATTATGTCCTCCTGACACAGGATTTCTTTTCTTCCCTTTGGATAAAGGATATTTTGCTAATTCAAAAGATTAGGAAAGACAGGGTTGGCAGTTCCACTTACTATATTTATTATTACAGGCTTACTTGACTATAGGCCTAACTAATTTTAAGGACACTGGGTTTATAGAAGAGAATGATGTGAAAGAGGACGTTAGGACAACCTCTGATTCCTAGAGGGGAGGGTATAGCTTTCTCTTCCATATTTGCGAAGCAGGATTTTCCAAAGACATGAGATTGAAAAAAATTGTGGATGTGAGAAGACATAAATTTCATTAGGATGATGAAAAATATTTTTTTTCTCTCACCTCAAATCTATATCATCAGTGTTATAAAGTAAGCTAGGGTCTGTCTCCCTTTCAACCCAGTAGTCTTAAAAGGCTCAAGAAGATTAGGCTTGAATTTCTACTCTCAAACTCAAAATTTTGTAATCTCTCTTTTTTAAATGATTGAAGTATAATTTACAGACATGTATTTTTACAAGCACAGATTATAAGTATTAACAATTGAATACACCCAAGTAATTCATACCTTAATCCAAACAAAGAACATTAATTTTTCACAGGCAACCAGTAGTCTGATTCCCATCATCAAAGTTTAGTTTTGCCTTTTCATTAACTTCATATGGTAATAATACACTATTTGCTCTGTTGTATCTAATTTTTTTCATTCAATATAATGTTGAGATCATGTATATTGCTGTGTATGTTCTTTTAATATTTTAAGTTGAATTTCATTTTATGAATATGCTTCAGTTTTTTCCACTCATTTTTCTGCTGATGGATACCTGGATGTTTCTAGGTTTGGGCTATTATTAATAAAATTGCTATGAACATTCTCTTTCAAGTCTATTGTGGACACATATTTCATTTCTTTTATACTTTTCATTCCATATACAATGTCTGGGTCAAAGAGTAGGTATGTGTTTAATTTTATAAAATACTACAAATCAGTTTTCCAAAGTGGCTGCACTATTTTACATTCAAATAAGCAATGTATGAGAGTTTCAGTGACTCCACATAACCAATAATTGATATTTTCAGCCTTTTAAATTATATCCAGGTCAGTGAGTGTAAAGTAATAACTCATTTTGGTTTGCATTTTCCTGATGATTATGTTGAATTCTTTAGTCATCTATCTTCATTTATGAAATATTCATTCAAATCTTTGTTCTATTTTGTTGCATTATTTAATATTTTTATGAAGTTGAAGAAATTCTTCAAATAGTCTAGATACAACACTTTTGTTAGGTCTCTTCCTTTATGTAGGTATTTTTAAATTTTTATCTGAAGGGTTTTGCAGTTTTCAGTGTAGGTATCTTGCATATACTTTGTTAACTATATTCTTAAGAATTTTATACTATTTGATTCTATTGTAAGTGATATATTCATTTTCCAAATGTTAATTACTAATGTATGGAAATAAAATTTATTTTCATTATTAATTTTGTACACTGAGACCTTGCTAAAATCCCTGATTAATTATTCTAGAAGTTTGGTGGTTTTATAGATTCCATTCGATTATCTAAGTACTTAAGCACATTATGTGTGAATGACAATACTGTGTTCTTTCTTTCCAATCTTTATTACTTTTAATTAATTAATTATTTTGCTTTATTCTTCTGGCCAGGTCCTCCTCACTACTGGAAGTACTAATAGAGGACATTCTTTTCTTGTTCTCGATTTTAGGGGTAAAGTGAGCAATACAACACTACTGTTTTTGATGTTAGCTTTTGATTCTTCCCTGGCACTATTTAGTAGACTCAGAAAATTTTCTTCTATTCTTACATTGCTAGAGGATATTGTTGCTGCTGTTGTTTTATTTTTAAAATCATGAGTGGATATTAACTTTTATTTTAAAATGTTTGTGCCATCTAAGATTATATAGTTTTTATTTTCTTGTTTTTAATTTTGTTTTTGCTTTATATTAGGTATATAATTTCATAATTGTATTAATGTATTACAAAATTTATATTTTTAAGATTAAACTACACTTAATTATATGTATTTTTTACTAGATTTATCTTACTGTTTTAATTAGAATCTTTGCATCTGTGCAAACAATTCTGTAGGTTTTCTTTTCACTCTCTTGATAAGTGTATTTTGATGCACAAAAGTTTTTAATTTTTACGAAGCCCAATTTATGTAATTTTTCTTTTGTGGTCTGTGCTTTTGGTGTCATTTTAAAGAAGCCATTACCTAATCCAAAGTCATGAAGATTTTTCCCTTGTTCTCTTTTAAGAGTTTTACAGTTTTATCACTTAAATTTAGGTCTTTGGTTCAATTTGATTGAATTTGCACATGGCTTAAAGTAAGAATCCAACTTCATTCTTCCTGCATGTGGGTGTCTAATTTTCCCAACACCATTTGTCAAAGACCACCGTTTCCCCATTGAATGGTCTTGGCACCCGTGGTAAATGAATTGAGAGTTCACTTCTGGCCTCTCAATGCTTCTCCATTTGTCTCTGTATTTTTCTTTATACCAGTGCTGCATGTGCTCTTGATTACTGTAACTTTGTATTAAGTTTTGAAACTGGGGAGTGAGAGTCCTGCAAATTTGTTTCTTGTTTTTCAAGATTGTTTTGGTTACTTGAGGTCCTTTTATGTTCCACATGAATTTTAAGAGAGATTTTTCTATTTCTATCCAAAAAATAATGCCATTAAGATTTTGGTAAGGAATTACATTGAATTTCCCTATCACATTGGATAATATTGTCACCTTAGTAATATTAAGTTTTCCAATCCATGGCTGTAGGAAGTCTTTTAAATAAAGAGGTATATCTATATTTACATAGGTTTGTTTTCAATATTTATATAATTTTATATGCTTTACTGGTATATAAATAAATTTGATTTATATTTAATATTTTCTTTTATAATAGAAAATAATATATATATTTATGAGGCATAATATCAAGTTTTGACAGATATATGTACCTCAAAACTATTTATATATATTTCATACACAGCATATATATTATGTACAACATAATGTATATTATATATTACATATATTTATAGACTATAAATATATATACTAATATGTAACTATATATAAATAATATATAACTACATATTCATAGATATATATAACTATATACAAATATATAAAAGTATAAAAATAAATCTATATATTATATATAGTGGAATTATTAAATTAAGCTATATAGTGAATGATTGAATTAAACTGATTAACATAATCATCACTTCACATGCTTATCAATTTTTTTTGGTTAACAGACTGAAATTTCCTCTTCGTAATTTGTAAAATATACATTATTATTAGCAATATATTTCAAAAACATATTGCTCTTGTGTAACTGAAACCTTGTACTCTTTGACCAACATCTTCTCATCTTCCCCATATTCGCCCCACTTCCCCAGCCTGTAATCACCATTCTGCTCTCCACTCCTATGAGTCTGACTTTTTAGATTCCATGTATAAGTGAGATCACAGTATTTGTCTTTCTGTGCCTGGCTATTTTACTTAGAATAAAAAGAATCAGATTGCACCTAGCTCAGTTAACCCCTTGACTCCAGGTATAGAAATAATAAAAACACAAAATCAAACAAATTTTATGTGTGTGTCTATCATCTATCTATCTATCTATCTATCTATCAAATGTCTATTTAAATACCATCTTTGACATTGCCATGGAGGATTATTATCCATATCATGATAATTTAGTAGATTGGCCCAGGGAATAGATAAACATTGGTGTTACCATACAATTTATAAATGTAGTTTTTAAAGAAAATGTCAAAGTATGTGGTTTAATTTGTAAAGTATATATTCTCATTTCGAATCTCTAAATGTAATATGTTTGTTTTCTCAACAGTATTACCCTGTTTCCAAATATTGCTTAAGGAGCCAATATGTCACAAAAGTTTTGCAGCAAGCAAATAAAATAAAATAAAATATGTATTTATTTTTACTCTAAAAACTATACATGCCTCTTTATTTATAGAGAGCTATAGCTATATCTGGATATCTATAAGACAAAGTTTTTTTACATTTAATCCACATATTTTGAACTTTTTAAAAAGATGTATTCCTAGGTAGTGTGTAATTTTGATGATAATGTGAATTGTATTTTCTTTTCAAATTGTATGTTCTCTTCATTTCTGTCTTATAAAAATGTGTTGGTTCTTGGATATTATTCTTGTATTTAATAACCTTGGTAAACTTATTAATTCCAAAAATTTAGCTGTAGTATTTCTTGCAATTTCTAAATACACAATAATGCCAACTGCATATGACAGTTTTATTTGCTCTAGTCCAATATTTGTTGAAAGTCCCCACCTCTGATATATATCCTTTTGTCAGAGTTTGTCATTGAAATACTAAGATACCCTATATTTCTGTTATTCTAGAAGTTAAGAAACAAAATCAGAGCTAAAACTTGCCAACTGGTTGGACCCAGTAACCCAGAGAGGGGACAGACTTTTCTTGTTAGATCCCATCTAAGCCACGTAGGCTTGAGACACAGATTCTGGAACCTGAGGGAAAGAAAAATGTGTTTGCAGATATAAAATATGGATTTAAAAAAATCATCAGGGAAAGAAAATGTCTATGGCAAAGGGCCTAAGATTAGAATCTACTACGCTCAGCGAAGTTGCACTCTCATCTAAGAAGTTCTTATCTAAATAACTGCCCTTTAGAAGCCCTCTGTTAATCAATAAACAGCTGTATAATTAGACATTACTTTCTTTTCTGACAACTACTCCCACTTAACTCTATTTCTGTTCACTTTTCTTCCCTTCCTTAGTTTTCAGACATTGTCTCAGGTGTATCCTTAGACCCTTTAACCCTGGTCTGCATGAAATTCCATACTTATATTTATGTTCTCCTTAATGCCTAGGTATTGGCAATCTTTGGCAGTCATTCCCTTATCCCCAGTGGGGAAAATACTGCTACAAATTTAAATGCATTTCACCACTTTAGTAGTTCACAAACTAGACAAAGGTACTGTCAATGATTGCCTGGATAACTCTTAACAGTAGTCTCCTTGCTTCTTCTTTTCCTCCCACTACTGTCTTTTCTTAACACAGCAGCAAAATTGTTTTATGTCTTTATGCAGACATAGGTAAAAACGTGTCATTTGCCTACATAATGACCCATCTTATCTCTTTATTTCATTCAAGTTAAAATCAAAGTCCTGTCAGTAGCTCACTAGATGTTACAATTTTTTTTGAGGCGGGGTCTTGCTCTGTTGCCCAGGCTGGAGTACAGTGGAACAATCATAGCTCACTGCAGCCTCAACCTCCTGGGATCAAAGGGTCTTCCCCTGCCTCAGTCTTCTGAGTAACTGGACTACAGGTGCATGCCACCATGCCTGGCTAATTTTTTTATTATTTTGTAGAGACGGGGTCTTGCCATCTTTCCCCAGCTGGTCTTGAATTCCTAGGTTCAAGGGGTCTTCCCACCTTGGCCTCCCAAAGTGCTGGGATTACAGGCATGAGCCACCATGCCTGGCTGATCCATTATCTTTCTAACTTATTTTCCTACTGTTGTTTTCCTGGATCAGTTCATACCAGTGACACTGGCCACTTCATATTCCTTGAAAACACCAGACACATTCCTATCTTACGGTCTTTGCTGTAGTTGTCTTCTCTGCCTGGAAAACTCTTCACTCAGAAATCCACTTAGATGTCTACCCTACTTCCCCCAAGTATTGCCTTCTCACAGAGGTATATCCAGGATAATCTATTTAAATCGAAATCCCACTGCAGCTGCCAGTAGTTCTCTTTCACTGACTTGCTTTTTCACTTTTCACAGCAGTTACCACCTTCTAAGATACTGAAATGGGAAAGGTCTTCTTGTCCCCCTCACAGGGCTTGCAACAGCGGGAGTGGCTCACTTCTTCAGTGCCCTGCTGCTCAAACCTCTAGGGAGAGCATACAGACGGACAGGATGTGGGGCTCTGGCCTCACGGCAGCATCTAGGGGTGTATGTTTACAGTTCCTGAAGCCCCAGTGGGCATGTGTTACTGTGTGCTCTTTTAGTTTTGCCATGTATAGGCAGCTAGTGTTAACTAGCTCAATTAGACCCTCTGCCTTATTGCAAGGACAGAGGGCTTTCTGTATCCCAGGTTCTTACCTTGGTGTACCAGAAAAATCAGATCACATGTGGGCTTGAAGAATGAGAGCAAGGTCTTATTGAGTGGAAGTGGCTCTCAGCAGATGGGGGAGCCAGAAGGGAGATGGAGTGGGAAGGTGGTTTTCCCCTGGAGTCAGGCTGCTCAGCAGCTGGGTTCCCCTCCAACTGCCCTGGCCAAACTCCATTTTGTTCCGCTGGTCAATGGCCTGCCAGCGTGCCAGCATCTGCTGGTTCCTGTTGGCATGATCTTTAACCGATGTGTCCCTCTTGACATCCAGCCACTTGTGTGTTCTTCCACTGATGTGTTCCTTTTGACGTCCAGCCACTTCTGTCCCTGCCTGCTAGGGTCTCAGGATTTTTACAGGCACAGGATGGGGGCATGGCAGGCCAGGGTGGTCTTGGGAAATGCAACATTTGGGCATGAAGGCAGGAGTGTCTGTCCTTACCTAGGTCTGTGGGCACAGGCCCAGGGGTGGAGCCTTAGCCAGGGACCATGCCCTTCCCTTACCAGCACTTCCCTGCCCCTCTTCTATATCACCTCCCCTGTCTGAAGAGGTACATCTAACTGCTGTTCGAATATGGATGATGACGGGTCTTAGCTGCTTCCTGCTGATAGGGGCATCGTTTTGGGGAAAACGGCAGTCAGATTCTTCCCAGAGGTCTATATAAGGGTTCCTAGCAAAGGGGAGCCATCATCCAAGGCTCCGGTTCCCTGACCATTTGGAGGTTGATGGCTTCCAGGTGTGAGAGAAAAAACAAGTTTTATAAGGTTAAGTATGCATGGATTATATATACTTGGGTATGTATACCCAAGTTATACACACTGTAACTACATACATACATACTATACATACTATAATAAATACGTGTATTATACAAGGAAAAAAAATTAGTGCCAAAGATTACAGAGATAAGAAGTGAAATATACTAACAACAACATTGTACCCTGAGATGTTTCACCCTGGTGAAAGAAATTAAACCTTGTATGGGAGTGGATAAACTTTTAGAATGAGATAACTGTTCTGGCCATATCTTTAGTAGTTAACAGGTGTACCCTGGGAATTCTGGGGTTTGTGGGCTTGCCTGGTGGCCATTAAAGCTTCTGTCTCTTTCCTGTATTTCCTCTCTCTTTCCTGGGCCTCCCTGTCTGTATTATAAAAGACCAAGGTGGCCACTTTCAGAAGGTCCTCTAATGTACTATCCGGTCCCAGGGCCCGTTTCTGCAACTTCCTCCTGATGTCAGGAGCTGCCTGAGTAATAAATTTATCCTTTAGGGTTAGCTGTCCCTCTACTGAATCAGGAGATAGACAGGTATGCTTTACCAAGGCCTCTCTTAGTCTCTCCAGGAAGGCAGCAGGATTTTCATCAAATACCTCGTCGATCATGGACAACTTAGTATAATTGAGAGGCTTGGTCTTAGTCCTACAAAAGCCTTCCATTATGCACATCTGAAAGCGTCTCCTCTTCCAGTCTTCCACCTGTCATTGGGATCCCACTTAGGGTCATTCACTTTTACTGCTTCTCTTCCAGTTGGATAATGTTTGCTCCCTTCCCTGATGCCATATGTGATACAAAGCTCATTCCCAAATCTCTTTACTGCTTGCAGAGCGGCCTGCTTCTCAGTGTCCATCAGGGTCTGATTCAAAAGTAGCATAACATCTCTCCAGGAGAGTTTAAATATATGGGTGAAAGTCTGGAAAACCTCTATATATCTATAAGGGTCATCTGAAAGCTTGCCAAGATCCCCCTTGGTTTGCTTTAAATCCTGTAGGAAGAAGGTGACCTGGACCTTACTGGGCGCAAATTCACTGGGCATTTGTTGGAGGGGCAAAAGTGAGACTGGTTGAATGTTGAAGGTGTACCTCAACACACACACACACACACACACACACACACACACACACACACAGAGTTCCTTGGCACAGACTAGCATAGTGTTTGCTTTGGTTCTAGGCATTGTCTCTGTTCAATCATTAGCTAATGACTAAGCTAACCGGGCAGAAACATCAAACGTTACATTCAGGAAAGAATGGAGACTTTATAAAATTAGATCAGAAAAATCTTTAAACAAACAAACAAGTAGTAATACAACAAATGCAACAACAGCAAACTCTGTAGAGGGAGGAAATCTGGTTTCTAAATTGCAACATTATAATATTCAAAATGTCTAGATTTCAGCAAAAAATAATGAAGCATGTAAAGAGAAAAGAAATCATGACCCATGCACAGAAAATAATAAAAAGAAACTGTTTCTGAAGAAGCCCAGACATTGTAATTAGCAGAATAAGACATGTCTAAAAAATAAAGTATAAGAATGATGTCTCAGCAATTTGAGAATATCAGAAGGAGAAATTATAGAAATAAATAGCAATTCTGCAGGTTAAAAATACTGACTTGCAAGGTTTCCGTTGAGAAGTCTGGTAATGGACTTATGGGAGATCTCTTACACATGATGTTTCTTTCAGAATTCTCTCTTTGTGTTTGACCTTTGACAATTTGATTATAATATATCTTGGAGTATGTCCTTTTTGAATTGAACTTGCTTGGGATGCTTTGATCGTCTTCAATCTGGATGTTCATATCCCTCTCAAGATTTGGAAAATTTTCAGATAATATTCCATTGATTAAGCTTACTGCCCCTTCCTCTTTTTCTTCTTTTGGTACTTCCATAATTCATATATTTGTATGTTTGATGGTGTTCCATAAGTATGCATGAAACACTTATGGAAAAATAATCTCAACAATTTTGAGATTATTTTTGGCAGGTGGAGCATCCTAAAACTAGAAGTCATCACCTTCCTCTTCAAGTGACTGACTTCTTAACTTAGAAATCACCACCACAGGATGCATAGAAGACTGAAACAAAATGTGGCTTTGTGAATACAGTGTGGGCTTTGGAGTCAGAAACTCTGCCATTTGTTGGCTGGGTAACTTCTAGTGTCTCTCTCCATCTCAAAGAATTTCATCGTACAGTTTATTAGGGATTAAACAAGTTTGTGCTTATAAGGTACCCACTATAGAACTTTGTAGTCAATAGACACTCAATAAAAGGTGTTATTACTCTTCCTTGTTCTCCACAGTGGCTTATGAGATCCCATTTACTGGCTCACTCTTCCTAGCACCATAGACCTCTGGACTGGATTTCTTCTTGCTATCTAACTCCAACAACTTGACTTCCTTTGTTCACCTTCATTTGTTTCAAGGCTCTTCTTTTTTTAACTTTTAGTTTTAAGGGTACATGTATGTAATTGTTTGTTATATGGGTAAACTGTGTGTTGTGGGGGTTTGGTGTACAGATTCTTTAGTCACCTGGGTAATAAGCATAAAACCCAAGAGATATGCTGTCTCCCTCCTCCTAGCCTCCACCCTTAAGTAGGCCCCAGTGTCTGTTGTTCCCCTCTTAGTGTCCATGTGTTCTTGTTGTTTAGCTCCCACTTATAAGTGAGAACATATGGTATTTGGTTTTCTGTTCCTGCTTTAGTTTGCTTAGAATAGTGGTCTCCACCTCCATCCATGTTGCTGCAAAGGACATCATCTCATTATTTTTTATGGTTGTGTAGTATTCCACGGTGTATATTTACCACATTTTCTTTATCCAGTCTGCCTCTTTTTAAATATAGTCATTTTTCTCATTTTTAATTATCAAACATTTATAAAATGCTTATTCTGTGGAAGGTTCTCTGCCTTAAGAGTTACAAACATTAGGCTGGGCACGGTGGCTCACGCCTGTAATCCCAGCACTCTGGGAGGCCAAGGCGGGTGGATCACCTGAGGTAGGGAGTTTGACACCAGCCTGACCGACATGGAGAAACCCCACCTCTACTAAAAATACAAAATTAGCTGGGTGTGGTGGCACATGCCTGTAATCCCAGCTACTTGGGAGGCTGAGGCAGGAGAATTGCTTAAACCCAGGAAGTGGAGGTTGCAGTGAGCCGAAATGGTGCCACTGCTCTCCAGCCTGGGCAACAAGAGTGAAACTCTATCTTCAAAAAAAATTTAAAAAAAGAGTTACAAAGATTAATGATATACAATCTCTGGCCTTAAAAATCTCTGAAAAACTAGAAATAATTCTAAAGCCCAGATAGAGTGAGTTCCCTTCCAGTATCCTATACAAGTTCAAGGTCCTCCAAAGCATTATTAAATCTTCCTAGCCTTTTGATCCTCTGCCTTTTCTCCTGCCTCACTAATGTTCTAAGTCTCTGTTATGACACAGATTCTAGAACCTTCACAGGCCACACTCCCATCATTTGCTTAGGTCTGATCAATCTGCTCCACACAATTTCTCAGTGATCCTCTGCATCTCTGCCTACAAGGGCCTCCCTGACACCCAAGTTCATATTGCTCAGAAACAGTGAACTTGAGTTTTTCGTTTTACCTTGATCTCTCTCTGACAAAGAAATCCAGATGATGCGAGACCTGATGAAGACAATACATGGAAAATGACAGTCTTGGGTATGGACTAACTCCCTCTTTGAGGCTTCCTCAACTCTAGTAGTTCAGGAGTCTCCTCTTAGGGACTTAGGGACTTTAACACAACTGCTTTATCTTCCTTGCCTGCTTCCTTTTCAAATTCAATATTTTTTCTTTCACTCTTATTGATTCCTCTGGAAGCCTGGGGGAAACAACCCACAGTTAACTAAGCTCTAGGCTGATAGTGCTGGTTTCTCCTTTGGTTTCTAGAGTTTAAACTGAACAAAGAAAATAACCATCCTCCGTAGCACTAGGAAAAATTCCTTAGCCCATTATCTCACTTCCTGTAGCATGGTCACTCTATATAATCTGCCTCAACTCAGAAATAATGATTTCCTCTCATTTTCCCTATTAATAGGGTGGACCATCTTCTAACCGCCCTATAGACAGGGCATTTCAGACACTAAAGGAAGAAAAGGAATATACAGTAGTACTGAGTACACCATCTAGTTATCCTTTCCTCCCCGATGAGTTATTTAACACTAGAAAAAAAAATTCACATAATAGAGGGCATATTGACTACTTGCTGTTCATTTTAGAGGTACATTAGAAGAAAATCTCCAAAAGTTGATTTGGCAGGAGAATTTTCTCACAGGACCAAACACCTAGAAGACTCAGTAGACAAATGCCTAATCTGCCCTGGTTGGAGGTGTGTTATTATATCTTGAGATGGATTCACCTATTGTTCGTTTGAAGTAGTCTTAATGTGGGTGTAATCTACTTTCCTAGTCTTTCAGAGCTCAATATTCTTCAGAGCTTTTACTTTCACAGGCAGTTTTATGGTTGTTTTTTTCTTCTTTCCTTTCTCTCTCTCTCTCTCTCTCTTTTCTTTTTTTTTCTCCCCCGATCCTTCATAGCCACTGCCCTTTATAACCATATGATATTGTCTAAGATTTTTCTCTCCTATGACTGCAAGACTCTATCTTACATCAATTGAATGCAGATCAATGACACATAAACAAACACAAGTTAAGCAATCCCAGCATATTTTATCCTACTAACCACAATAACAAACCTCGCAAATATCCATCTTATCATCAGGAGGTTGGCAAGTGATGACTGAAAGGTTTTTCTGTGACAAGAAATTTCTGTCCTTTGCTGTGGCTTTCATTAATAAAACCACCTTCAGTCAGCACCCTTCAGTCAAGGTGCTGAAAGTTTTTTGATCACTCACTAATAAAAATGTTTTGAGTATGCATTGCCTATAAAAGTATATTTATAAATCTTATTTATAGCCATATATATATATATATATATATACAGAAAATCTTGCAACTTTAAAGGTATGAGTTAAAATTACACAGAAAATAGAAGTTCTAATATTTTCCCCATACCCCAGTGGATAGCTTCGTAGACCACTGATTCCCTTTAACATTCTTCCTGCCTGGGGAGTAAAGGGTTCAACTGAGGAGGAAATCTGTCAGATTTCCAACTCTAAACCAAGGGTACACAGCATCTGAGGTTCTTAGTATACGACCAAAGAACTAAAAATGGGCAGGGGCGGGAATGTGAGGACAGTAATATGCGGCAAATAAAAGAATAAAGGAGTTGAAGTAGCAGAAAGGGGAAAGAAAAAAAAGTCTATCTGGTGGATAGTAAGAGGTGATCAGAAGTTGTTTCTGGTAATTTCCTGGTCTAAATAAGCATGTTTACAGGTGAGTTTTTGTTTTCAGAAATAACTTTGGCTGTCATCCTGACTCTACTGGGACTTGCCATCCTGGCTATTTTGTTAACAAGATGGGCACGACGTAAGCAAAGTGGTGAGTAATAATGAGTCAAAATGAAGATTTCCTGTGAAAACCATGGAGGGAGGGATGCCAAGATTCAGTCTGAGTTCATCTCACTCATCAAACAGCTAGAGACTTTGCCAATATTCTGGGAATCTGTTTCAATACTTGAGTCAAAGAATCTCTGACCTATTAGTGATTGTCCCTGCACTTTTAACTCCCAAGGTTTACATTATCAATAATGTCAAAGAAAAAGTCACAGATAGGCCGGGAGCGGTGGCTCACGCCTGTAATCCCAGCACTTTGGGAGGCCGAGGCGGGCGGATCACAAGGTCAGGAGTTCAAGACCAGCCTGACCAAAATGGTGAAACCCTGTCTCTTCTAAAAATACAAAAATTAGCTGGGCATGGTGGCAGGTAACTGTAAGCCTAGCCGCTCGGGAGACTGAGGCAGGAGAATTGTTTGAACCCAGGAGACGGAGGTTGCAGTGAGCCGAGATCACGCCATTGCACTCCAGCCTGGGTGACAGTGCAAGACTCCATCTCAAAAAAAAAAAAAAAAAAAAAAAAAAAAATCACAGAGTTTAGCAAAAGTAATAAGAATATTTTAAAAGAAAATTACCTGAGCTCCAAGGGAAATTACCTGATAGAAGTGAGAAGACAGTATGTTGCTAAACACCAGTATCTAGTATTATATAAAAAGAATTGGAGACTTTTAGTGACTTAATTTGGGGAGATGATAAGAAGAGACAAATACAGAGTAGTACTTGTCGATGAAATAGAGATGGAGCTCATAAAAGCTAAGACCTATTTCTATGCCATAAGGTCTCTCTTTCCTGGATTTTTCTGTTTCTCTCCCACAACTTTCTAATCAGCTGTATTCCCTCCCTGTTTCCCATCCTCAATGCCTGTGAGCCCTCAAAGCATAAGTAGTGTGAAAAGACAGGTAAAACAGGGCTGATGGGAGATGTGGAAAATGGGTGAGAACAACAATGCATTATATCAGGAGGACCACCTTGGTAAGCAAGAAGCATAGCTTAGAGTGAGAAGAGTTTGATCAGAGGAAGAACACTTCTCCTAAGTAACTAATAAAAACATTTTGCCTAATTCTTCCACAGAAATGTATATCTCCAGATACAGTTCAGAACAAAGTAAGTACTTATACTCATGAGAAAAATAAATATAGTACTTATAGAATTTTCACAAGTCAGGAATGAAATCTGTCTTGTTTACAGTTGTGTTTCCAGAACCTTGCATAGTGCACCATTGCATGAACTGAACTGCTTCTAAGTGAGTGGGAGAAATCTACCAGAGATTTCTGAGCAGTACTGAATGCCAAACTGGATTTGGGGAGAATTAATTAATACTGGGTAGGCCTGCATAATTCTGAGGCTCCCTTCAGATGCTTCCTGTGGTCTGAGAGCAGCAACAGAGAACTGTTCCAGTTCAGGCACTGGAACAGATGGTTCAGTAAAAAGCCTAAATCCATTCATGAAGACGGCCTCAGTGAAGTGGCCGGACCGAAAAATATAATGTATCCTAGAATAATGAGAGTGAACACAGTTAGGGTAATTATGATTGAGAAGAGTACCAACTTCAGGATGTGAAGAATTGAAGAAGACTTTCCATGGAAAGGTCTGGAGAGATGCCAAAGTTGTTAAGAAAGATAGCACAGGATTGGTATGAGGCAAAAACCAGGAGACTAGCTGCTGAAGTATCAAGAGGTAAAAGAAACTCTGAAACTCCTTCTGACTATCATTTAGCCTGGCTAATATTATAAAATTGGTGATTGACACAGTCACTTATCATCGTCAGCTCTTGTAGCTTATGCACAATTCCTAGTTCCTGCAAAGTAAATTAATTCACATCATTATTCACCATTAGGAGTTCATGTTTACATTAGTTCTCAGAGTCTTAAATAAAGCCTCATTAATAATCAAGAAGCAAAATCATGTGCTCTCCCTTTTTTTCTAGGTGCTAGACTTCTGGACTATGAGGATGGTAGAGGTAAATAGATTAGGAACTACTAGACAGTTAATGAAGGAATATACTCTTTAGAGTGTGAATCAACTCATCTCCATTTGAGCATGATTTGTTGAGTCAGCATATCTTTCGTTTTTATAATATTCAAATGCTTATCACTCCTCTCTCTCTTTCTCAAGAAAAATTGTGCATTTTTCTCAGAAAAGGTAAATAATTCTCCTTCTTAAGACCATCAAAAGAATTCATTTCCATCTTCTGTCTACTTCCAAGATATTAGAAAGGTTAAGGAACCGCTCCGAAACAATTTCCTGGATGTTTAAAATGTGGATAAAATGAATATGAAATGGAATAGTATATGTGAAAATACACTTTGAAAGCCATATAGTAGAAGAGGTAAACAAAGCTTATCCCCATTTAAGAAGATGAAATTTATGCTCAAAAGATTGAGACTTACTCAAGTTCACCTAGCTGAGGAGGGAGCTGGATATCAAATTCAGGTTTTGAAACGTGAGAGTTATGAGAAGATGGCAATGCGCTGTCTACTTTTTTGAAGGGACACACCAGTACCACTAATTTCAATGTACCATGGCTATCCCTAACCCTCACGCCCCAACACTCAATGTTCTCTTTCAGTATCCACTCACCAGGGCTGCCTATAGATGTTCCCTCGGCTGTCTCTCTCTCTCTCTCTCTCTCTCTCTCTCTCTCTCTCTTTCCTTCCCTCTTTCTCTCTTTCTGACTAGTCCTATCTCCAGAACTCAACAAGAACCACTAGAGCTACCTCTCATTCTTGCTGGAAGCCACTAAAGTTGTCCACACCAGGCCCACCAGCTACACCAGAACTATAAGGTTATGAGATTGTGGATGTGGAAATAATTACACACACACACACACACACACACGCTACAAGCATATAGATCCCTGAGAGTTGAGGAAAGAAAAGAGAAAGTAACTCAGTCACTTCGCTTGCTGTCCATGCCCCACACTTGGACTCTTGGTCCATCCTTCTCCTTCTTACCTCTATGATTCATCTATCATGAACAACAAGAGTGAAGAGCACAGTGCCATGGCATTCCCTCTTTATTTTCTGAAATGGAACCTAAAGAAAATGGGAATATCTGGGAAACTAGCAAATCTTTTAGTAGTTGGATTGAGACTAATGATAAACTTTTTTTTTTTTTTTTTTTTTTTTTTTTTGAGACGGAGTCTCGCACTGTCGCCCAGGCTGGAGTGCAGTGGCGCAATCTCGGCTCACTGCAAGCTCCGCCTCCCGGGTTCACGCCATTCTCCTCTCTCAGCCTTCTGAGCAGTGACCACAGGCACCTGCCACCACGCCCGGCCAATTTTTTTGTGTGTTTTTAGTAGAGACGGGGTTTCACCGTGTTAGCCAGGATGGTCTCGATCTCCTGACCTCGTGATCCACCCGCCTCGGCCTCCCAAAGTGCTGGGAACATAGGCGTGAGCCACCACGCCCGGCCCGATAAACTTATTTTTTAATGAACTGTTGGTAAAGTTAATATGTTTTTTTCTTTCCTAAAAGATTTTTCTTCTCAGAGATCTAAAAGAGGAAGAGGTAAACAGATTTCTATCTAACAAAAAATAATATAGACTCACTTGTTGAAGTAAAATCTCATTATGTTTTTATCTTCTCTTTTAGGATCCCGACATGCATATTCAACACAAAGTGGTAAATTATTGTATTGCTAAGAAATTAATATAGGAGTCTGTTTATGAGAAATTAAGAATCTTATAATTTTTCTTCAATTCTCTAGACACTTCATATGATAACCGAGGTAAGTATATGTAGAGATTTTTGTAAAATTAAAGGAAAATCAGGCTTCTTCCTGCCACAACATAAAAGGCTATAAAAACTGACCAAAATTTAAAAAAGAAGAAGAAGAAATCAAAGTAGTTACAGAATATTCTGAGAAATGTTCACAAATGTTCACCATCACGCTATGAGGCACCATTTTCCCCAAAGCTATGCAATTCCTCTCCTATCCAACTCCTAATTATTTAACAAAAGTAATATGAGAGAAAGGCATCAGCAAAATAGTAGAATAGGAGCTTTCTTCCCACACAGAAGCATCAATTTAGACAACTATCCACAGATGAGACAATACCATTGTGGGAGTCCAGGAGTCCAGCAGAGAAGTTCCAGCACGCTGTCAGGTTATAAAATCCTAGAACAGATGTATTAAAGAGGGTAAGAAGAACAGTTTCACTTTACCCACATCACTCCTCCCCCAAGGTGGCACAGCTCAATGCTGAGACAGACCCACTTGGCCCACAATTTCTCCCACAGAAAAAATGTGCAGAATTTAATGAGTGCCCACATCCCCCAGCCATTCAGGATGCTGTCCGATAAGCCCACTTATTTCTCACTCCACCCAGAACATTGAGATGATCAGCATAGTTGAATGGTTAGGAGAGGCTGGGAACAGGGAAAAGAGACTGCAGAACCCACTCATCAGAAAGCCTCATCAGAAAGCCTGCCATTTGAGATGCGTGACCTATGCTCCTTGCACTACTGACCCACAGGCACGCCTTTCACACATTTCACTCTCCCATCTAGGCTGAGTCCCCAAATGAGCCACCATGGACAACAAAAGGAAACATCTCACAGTCAGTTTGACTTTGTAGGATCGGAAAAAAGGACACAAACTTGAGAATTCCAGAGCACCACCCTAGGGAAAACAAAGGGAAGGCTCTCAGAACCTGGACTGGCTTTGCAGGATTGAGAGAAAGCACAATCTTAGAAATCCCATCTACCCTGGGTGTGGTAGTTCATGCCTGAAATCCCAGCACTTTGGGAGGCCGAGGCAGGAGGACTTCTTGAGACTAGGAGTTCGAGACTGGCCTGGGCAACATAGTGAGACTCCGTCTCTAAAAAAAAAAAAAAAATCAGTTGGATGTGGTGGTGCACACCTGCAGTCCCAGCTACTCAGGAATCTGAGGTGGGAGGATTGCTTGAGCTCAAGAGTTTGATGCTGCAGTGAGCCACGATCATGCCACTGCTCCACTCTGGGTAGCAGAGTGAGATTTTCTCTCAAAAAAAGGGAAAAAATCCCACCTGTGAAGTAGGCACAAACAAATATTGAACAGGGTGACTGTTTCTTCAAATGTGAAAACACAAGACAAGACTTCAAGGTCATAAAAATCAAGGAAACATGACACCACTAAAAGAACACAATAATATTTCAGTAACTAACCCCCAAAAATGAAGGTTTGCCTAAAAATCAATCCACCAGTTGCCTGACAAAAAAATCCAAAACAATTGTTATAAGAAAGCTCAGTGAGCTACAAGACAACACAAACAATATAATGACATCAGGAAAACAACACAAGAACAAAAGTAGAAGTTCAACAAAGAGAAAAAAAAACAAAACAGAGCCATACAAATTTTGGAGCTGAAGGGTGTAATGCCTAAACTAAAACAAAAAGGAAATAGAGAGCTTCCAAGATGATGGATCAAGTATAAGAAAGAATAAGAGAAGTCAAAGACCAATCATTTAAAATTATCTAGTCAGAGTACAAAAAAAAAAAAAACCACAAAGAAAAGAAATGAAGAAATATGTACAAGATTTATGGGACACCATCAAGGGAGCTAACTTTTTGCATTATTGGAGTCTCAGAGGAAAAGAGAAATAAAATAGAATAAATGCTTATTTAAGGCATAATTGCTAAAAACTTTCCAAATCTGTGAAGAGATATAGACATCTCGATATATGAAACTCAAAACTCTCCAATTGTATTTAACCCAAAGAAGACTTCTCCAAGACATTATGTCAAATTGTCAATAATCAAAGTTAAAGAGAGAATCTTGAAAGAAGCATATCACATTTAAAGGTACATCAAAAGGATATTAGCACTTCTATGCAGACATTTTCTAGGCCAGTACATAGTGGGATGATATATTCAATTTGCTGAAAGAAAAAAACTGCCAACCAATAACTCTTTACCCGTAAAGCTGTTTTTCAGATCTGAGAAAGAGATAGTCTTTATCAGACAAACAAAAGCTGAGGGAGTTTATCACCAATAGATCTGCCTTACAAGAAATGCTAGAGAATGTTCTTCAAGCTGAAATGAAAGGCCAATAATTAGTAAAATGAAAACATATCCAAGTATAAAATTCACTGGTAAGGTAAATATACAGTCAATTCAGAATATTCTAATACTGTAATGATGGTATATAAATAACTTTTAATGCTAATATAAAAGTTAAAAGACAAAATATTAAAAGTATATAATTTGTTAATGAATATACAATTTTTTTAAATGTAAATTTTGACACTGAGAATGTAAAAAGTAGGGAGAATAATATGTAGAGTTTTTGTATGTAATCTATTTTAATAATCTAAGTTATTATTAGCTTCAAATAGACTGTTGAAACCATGTTTTATGTAAGCTTATGGTAACCACAAACCAAAAACCTATACTAGATACACAAAACAGAAAGATATTAAAGCATACCACTACAGAAAATCAGCAAATCACAAAGAAAGACAGGAAGAAAGGAAGAAAGGATATACTAAACAGCCAAAAAACAACCAAGAAAATAACTATATTAAGTCCTTAACTATCAATAATTACTTGAACGTAAATGGATTAAATTTTCTAATGAAAAGACACAGAGTAGCTAAATGTATTTAAAAACAAGTTGCAACTATCTATGCTGCCTGTAGCAGACACACTCCAGCTCTAAGGATACATATAGAATGAAAGTAAAGGGATGAAAAGAAGATGCTCCATGCAAATGGAAAACAAAAGACGGTAGGGGTGGCTATACTTACATCAGGCAAAATAGACTTTTAGTCAAAAATTATAACAAGAGACAAAGGAGCTCACTATATAATTATAAAGGGCTAATTCATCAAGAGGATATAAAAATTATAAGTACATATGCACATAATGTCAGAGCACCTAAATATATAATATTTACATAACTGAAGGGAGAAACAGCAATATAATAATCGTAGCGGACTTCAGTAACCCATTATTGACAATGAATAGAGCATCCACACAGAAAATTAACAAGGGAGAAAATAAAGTTACCAAGAATACCCAATAGGGAAAGGATAAATGTTATTGGGAAAACCGGATATCCATATGCAAAAACAAAAAGAAATTGGCCCTTATCATATACCATACACAAAGATCAATTCAAAATGGATTGAAGACTTTAATGTAAGACTTGCCACTATAAAACTCCTATAATAAAACAGTGAAAAGTTCCATGACATTGGTCTTTGCAAGTTGTTTTATATGACACCAAAAACACAGTAACAAAAGCAAAAATAAGTGGTATCTCGTCAAACAAAATTGTTTCTGGACAACAAAGGAAACAATCAACAAAATGAAAGCCAACTCACAGAATAGGAGAAAATATTTGCAAACCATATATCTGATAAGTGGTTAATATTTGTCTTAATCTGTTTCTGTTGCTTATAACAGAATATCTGAAACTGGGTAATTTATAAAGAAAAGAAATGTATTATTATTTCTTACAGTTATGGAGGATGGAAAGTCCAAGGCTGAGGGGGCGCATGTGGCGCAAGAGAGCCTTCTTGCTAGTGGGGACTCTCTGCAGATTCCTGAAGTGGTACAGGGCATAACATGGCAAGGTGGCTAACATGCTGTGCTTAGGTCGTTCCTCTTCTTTTTTTTTTTTTTTTTTTTTTTGAGACGGAGTCTGGCTCTGTTGCCCAGGCTGGAGTGCAGTGGCGCGATCTCGGCTCACTGCAGGCTCTGCCTCCCGGGTTCACGCCATTCTCCTGCCTCAGCCTCCCGAGTTGCTGGGACTACAGGCGCCTGCCACTACGCCCGGCTAATTTTTGTATTTTTAGTAGAGACAGGGTTTCACCGTGTTAGCCAGGATGGTCTTGATCTCCTGACCTCGTGATCCGCCCACCTCGGCCTCCCAAAGTGCTGGGATTACAGGCTTGAGCCACCGCGCCCGGCCCGTTCCTCTTCTTATGAAGCCACCAGTTCCACTTGCCTGACAACTCATTAATCCATTAGTGGATTAATCCATTTATGTGGGTAGAACCCTCATGATATAATCACCTCTTTAAGGCCTCACTTCTCAATGCTGTCACATTGAAGATTAAGTTTCAACATGAGTTTCGGAGAGGACATTAAAACCACAGCAATATCCAAAATATATAAGGAACTCATACAACTCAAAAGCAAGATACAACTCAAAATACAGCTGAAACAAATAAGCTGATTTTAAAATGGACTAAGGTTCATATCTGTTCATGAACCTTAGTCCATGAACAGACAATTCTTAAAAGAAGACATTTACGCAGCCAACAGACATATGAAAAAATGCTCATCATCACTGGCCATCAGAGAAATGCAAATCAAAACCACAGTGAGATACCATCTCACACCAGTTAGAATGGCAATCATTAAAAAGTCAGGAAACAGGTGCTGGAGAGGATATGGAGAAATAGGAATGTTTTTACAATGTTGGTGGGAGTGTAAACTAGTTCAACCATTGTGGAAGACAGTGTGGTGATTCCTCAAGGATCTAGAACTAGAAATACCATTTGACCCAGCCATCTCATTATTGGGTATATACCCAAAGGATTATAAATCATGCTACTATAAAGACACATGCACACGTGTGTTTATTGTGGCACTATTCACAATAGCAAAGACTTGGAACCAACCCAAAAGTCCATCAATGATACACCAGATTAAGAATATGTGGCACATATACACCATGGAATACTATGCAGCAATAAAAAATGATGAGTTCATGTCCTTTGTAGGGACGTGGATGAAGCTGGAAACCATCATTCTCAGCAAACTATTGCAAGGACAGAAAACCAAACACTGCATGTTTTCACTCATAGGTGGGAACTGAACAATGAGAACACTTGGACACAGGGTGGGGAACATCACACACTGGGGCCTGTTGCGGGGTGGGGGAAGCAGGGAGGGATAGCATTAGGAGAAATACCTAATGTAAATGACGAGTTAATGGGTGCAGCACACCAACATGGCACATGTATATATATGTAACAAACCTGCACATTGTGCACATGTACCCTAGAACTTAAAGTATAATAAAAAAAAAAGAGAGAGAGAAAAAAACAAAATAAAATAAAATAAAATGGACTAAGGACCTAAATAGACATTTTTTCAGAGAAGACTTACAGCCAACTAATAAATAAAGGTGCACAATATCACTAATCATCAAGGAAATGCACCTCACACCAGATAGGATGCATTCAAAATGTCAAGGGATAACAAGTGTTGGCAAGGATATGGAGAAAAGGGAACCCTTGTACACTGTTGTTAGGAATGTAAAGTAATATAGCCATTATGGAAAACAATATTGTGGTTCCTCCAATAAATTAAAAATAGAACTACCATATGATTCAGGAATGCTACTTCTGGGCATATATTCAAAGGAAATAAAAATCATTATCCTGAAGAGATGTTTGCACTCCCATATTCATTGCAGCATTATTTACAATACCCGGGATAGAGGAATAAACTAGGTGTCCATCAGTGGATGAATGGATAAAGAAAATGTGATACACAGACACACACACATACACACACACACACACAATGAAATATTATACAGCCTTAGGAAAAGAAAGAAATCTTGCCATTTGTGACAACATGGATGAACCTGGAAGACCTTAGGCTAAGTATAATTAGCCACGCATAGAAAGACAAATACTACATGATCTCATGTATATATGGAACCTTAAAAAGTTGAACTCAGCAGAAAGGTGATTACCAGAAGTTAGGGGGTGGAAGAAATGGGCAGAAGTTGGCCAAAGGGTACAAACTTGCAGTTTTATGACAAATACGTTATGTAGACCCAATGTACAGCATGGTGACTATAATGTATTATACACTTGAAATTTACTAAGAGTGTAGGTTTTACATATTCTCATCACAAAATGAAAAATAGAAGTAAGTATTTGAAGTGGTAGATATATTAATTAGCTTGATTGTGGCAATCATTTCACAATGTATACATATATTAGAATCACACACTGTAATACCTTAAATATATATAATTTTTATAATTATACCTCAATAAAGCTAAAGAAAAGAAAAAAATAATCTGAGTAGTCAAGAGAAATTCAACATCCCAGATCTCACAAATGCTAACTACTCATTGAATTAATTCAAGATGGATTAAAGACTTAAATGTTAGACCTGAAACCATAAAAACCCTAGAAGAAAACCTAGGCAATACCATTCAGGACATAGGCATGGGCAAGGACTTCATGTCTAAAACACCAAAAGCAATGGCAACAAAAGCCAAAATGGACAAATGGGATCTAATTAAACTAAAGAGCTTCTGCACAGCAAAAGAAACTACCATCAGAGTGAACAGGCAAACTACAGAATGGGAGAAAATTTTTGCAATCTACTCATCTGACAAAGGGCTAATATCCAGAATCTACAAAGAACTCAAACAAATTCACAAGAAAAAAACAAACAACCCCATCAACAAGTGGGTGAAGGATATGAACAGAGACTTCTAAAAAGAAGACATTTATGCAGCCAAAAGACACATGAAAAAATGCTCATCATCACTGGCCATCAGAGAAATGCAAATCAAAACCACAATGAGATACCATCTCACACCAGTTAGAATGGCGATCATTAAAAAGTCAGGAAACAACAGGTGCTAGAGAGGATGTGGAGAAACAGGAACACTTTTACACTGTTGGTGGGGCTGTAAACTAGTTCAACCATTGTGGAAGTCAGTGTGGCTATTCCTCAGGGATCTAGAACTAGAAATACTATTTGACCCAGCCATCCCATTACTGGGTATATACCCAAAGGAGAATTGAACAATGAGAACACATGGACACAGGAAGGGGAACATCACACTCTGGGGACTGCTGTGGGGTGGGGGGAGGGGGGAGGGATAGCATTGGGAGATATACCTAATGCTAGATGACGAGTTAGTGGGTGCAGCGCACCAGCATGGCACATGTATACATATGTAACTAACCTGCACATTGTGCACATGTACCCTAAAACTTAAAGTATAATAATAATAATAATAATAAAACAAATCATGCTGCTATAAAGACACATGCACACATATGTTTATTGCGGCACTATTCACAACAGCCAAGACTTGGAACCAACCCAAAAGTCCATCAATGATACACCGGATTAAGAAAATGTGGCACATATACACCATGGAATACTATGCAGCAATAAAAAAGGATGAGTTCGTGTCCTTTGTAGGAACATGGATGGATGAAGCTGGAAACCATCATTCTCGGCAAACTATCGCAAGGACAAAAAATCAAACACCTCATGTTCTCACTCACAGGTGGGAATTGAACAATGAGAACACTTGGACACAGGAAGGGGAACATCACACACCGGGGCCTGTTGTGGGGTGAGGGGAGTGGGGAGGGATAGCATTAGGAGATATACCTAATGTAAATGACGAGTTAATGGGTGCAGCATACCAACATGGCACATGTATACATATGTAACAAACCTGCATGTTGTGCACATATACCCTAGAACTTAAAGTATAATAATAATAAAAAGAAATCAAGGAATAAATTCTTAAAAGTTCATCACATTAAGATATGACTTGTGCAATAAAATTCCAAGGGTGCAAAGAAATACTGCTGTTGTCTACTGTTGTCATTTACATCTCATATTTCTTGGGAAAAAACCTCTCCAGTAACAGTCTACCAGAATACCAGATTTAACCAGTGCAAGAAGCTACCTCAGTGTTAGGAATTTAAGGGTACACGGATAAGCAAAATAAAACTACACACTATAAGAAGGGAGGAGAATTAACATGTACTCAGCACCTACTATATGTTAGTCATTCTGGTGAGCATTTTTTCATTTTATTAATATTGAATATCTACAAACAACCCTGTCAACCACACAAAGATGAGCTACCCAAAAATCCCTCCCTGGCTGTCCAAGGCCTCCAGTAGCCTACAGGTTGCTTTGGTGCATATTAGGAAAAGGTGTTCCTTCCTGCAAGTGAATGCAGCCCCACCCCAGAGACACTGTTGTGGATTTCAGTTCCCTTAACCCTTTGTGCAGTGAGCCAACCTATATAATTATAGCACACGTGTCCTGAAGATATATGAAAGGCATCTCACTCTTAGCATGTCTAAAACCCAAGCCCTAATCCCTTCTACACACTGGTGCTAGCACCTGTATTCACCTAATTGCTCAGACTATCTACCTTGGAATGATATTTAACTCCTTTCCTACTCTCTTCATCCAATCCACCATCAAATCCCATCTCTGATGCTTTCAAATTATACTCCAAATCAAACCACCTTCCACCACCATGACAATCCTTGCCCAAACACCAATATCTCTTGCCTCCTACCTTGTTTCCTTGATACTCCTCTTGCCTTCTTATAGTCTATTCACCTCACCACAGCGAGGGAGATCCTTAATAAGTACCTCTTAAATGAAGAAAGTAATTTACTATTGTTATCCCTAATTTACAGAAGAGAAACTTATGCTTAAAAAACATTAATGACTTGCCCAAGGCCACAGGACTTGGAAGTGACAACCTGGATAGGAATTTAGAATTGTCTAATTCCAAATTTTAGGCAGTCAGAGAGTTTATTCTTATGTAATTTAGTAATATCTTAATTTTTAATTTCCTGTTTACAGATCTTTAGTGTACAAGCCTACAATCTTAGTATCTTTCTAATCTGGGCTCCCTTGCATTCTTAAGGAAAAACTTGAATCAGTAAACATTTTATTGTTGTTTCAATAAGTCATACTTTAAAATTCATAAACCCAAATGACTATTTCTCTGACTTTCCAGTCCCCCTAACATAACCTATAAATCTCAGTCATCCTAAGTTTCTAGGTTCCCACGCCCTGCTAGTCTTCCCTCCATTATTTCTAGACATAGGAATATAAATGTACTGGTCAACTTGAGACTATAGAAATCTTCTGGCAGGAAGATATTAATATTAGGTAAGGTCATTATGTTAGTTTAGGTACATGAAATTTAGTACTCAAAGTTTAGTTTAACTTAAATATATCACATATAAAAGCTGCCATGGTTATTCCAAAATTTTTTTGAAATTAAATTTATTCTTAGTATTTTTCTAGCAAATGTTAAGTGCAGCGCATGAAAGTTTTTATAACAAATTTCAAGTGCAGCATATTAAAATGTTCGGCATTTCAGTGGTATTTTCCATTTTTGTGGCAACTCTATTAACATCTTGATGTATTTTCCCTTTTTTTTTTTCATTGAGACAGAGTCTTGCTCTGTGGGCCAGGCTGGAGTGCAGTGGCACTATCTCGGCTTACTGCAATCTCCGTCTCCCGGGCACAGGCAATTCTCCTGCCTCAGCCTCCTGAGTAGCTGGGATTACAGGCGTGTACCACCAGGCCCAGAGAATTTTTGTATTTTCACTAGAGACAGGGTTTCACCATGTTGGCCAGGCTGGTCTCGAACTCCTGACCTCAGGTAACACACCCACTTCGGCCTCCCAAAGTGCTGGGACTACAGGCTTGAGACACCGTTTTTAAAATCCCCATAGAACCATGAGAAACAAGAAACATTATTATAAAACAGAGAATGTGTTTTGTACTTAATTCCCATCACAATGACTGCCAAGTATGGAAGGAGAGCACTCATTTTCAGAAAAGAAGCTGAAAAAAAAATACTATTGTCTTCACATTTCTGAGTAGATCTTTAACTATACTTTAGTGAAATAGCAAATGATATTATGATTCAACATAATTTAAATCAACTACAAAGTATCAATATTACTATTTACTTTTACACTTTTATGAAAACAACAGTGATAACATGACTAGTTTTCCATGTAATTTGCTTTGTCTCCAGATCTTTTAGAAAGTCTGTTTCCATGACATCACTAAGAAACAAGTTTTAGATCATAGGATGCACATTCAATCGCAATCAATATACACATTTGCATTCATTATAATTTGCCATATTGTCACTGAACTTGAATTCTCAGTCAGCTGAGTAAATATTTTGCCATTCCTTCTTTTATTTGACCTCAACTTACCTTATAACTATACATTCTTCTGTTTCAATGTTTGCATGTATAGTTTATTATTTCTTCTCACTACATGTATTTACCTTAATTAAACTCTGCCTGTTTTTTTAATGTCATTAAACTTATAAATTAAGCCATGAGGAGATTTTGTCTCCAGTTTCTTGCCTAACTGGATATTTGAGGGTGTTGACTGGGTAATCCTCTGTAGTGATACCAAAACTACAGAAATAGAATATCCAAATTGATTTTTCTTTCTTTTGTTTATGTTTTCAGAGAGATCCAAAAGAGATTACAGTAAGTATTATCTTGCTTCTTAACAAAAATTTGCTTCCTATTAGTAACATTTCCCTAGATTGTAAATGCTTTGGAGGAAAGAGAAATCCTGTCATATGTCAAGTCATATGAATACTAAGCAATAGATAAAGTTTTCTAGTGCTGGTTTAGAATGATCTGGCTGGGAGAAAAGGAAAACAATAGAAGTGATGAGCAAGAGAAAAGGAAAGTAATAAAGATAAAAGGGAGAGAGAGAAGAAAATAGAGAGGGAAAAAAGGGAGGGAGGAATTAGGGCAGTAGGAATGGCATCTGCCTACTAAAAATTAAACCCATTTTTAGAGATGGAAAGCATATGCAGTAGCTGGTGGGAGTGGCTGTCAGTACCCATCACCAGATCAGTGATGACTCCCGGGGCCTAGACTTTAACTCCTGAGAAGGGGGTGACAGCAACTGAAGCTGATATGTAAAGATTAGGGATCCAAACTCTCATGATTCACCTCATGTTTTCTGTGTGTGTATTTTAGCACCATCAACCAACTCTCTAGGTAAGTGCTTTGTGGTTTTCTTTCAATTCTACTGTCATCTGGTTTGCAAGCCCTATTTTTTCTGTATTTTTTCTCTTTT
This sequence comes from Homo sapiens, assembly GCF_000001405.40. Classification (NCBI taxonomy): domain Eukaryota; kingdom Metazoa; phylum Chordata; class Mammalia; order Primates; family Hominidae; genus Homo; species Homo sapiens. The sequence goes on along the minus strand of NT_167245.2, from coordinate 3,596,153 downwards.
AAGAAAGTTTTTAAAATTAAGTATAAAAATAATTAACACTTGTATATCACACCTTAGATGTGACAAATTGATAATATTCTTGTCATATTTCTCAAGTTATCATAGACATATTCCACTCCCTTCTTCCCAAAGGCTTATTAATATATTTTAAATATTTAAGTCTATTTACATATATTTATAGTCTCTACCTATCACTGAACAAAATATAGTATCTTTTTTTAATGTTTAATTTTACTAAAATGGCATCTGTCTGATAGTATCATTACGATTTGCATTTTTCTCTCAAAATGTAGTTTTGAAATCCAGGTTATACACTTTGTTGAATAATATTCCACCTTATGAATATACAATATTTTTCTATTATTTCTACTACCGATGCATTCTCAATGTTTCCAATTTCTGCTATCACAAATAATGCTGCAAAGACAATCCTTAAGTAGATGGAAAAGAGTTTATCCGGGGTACATACCCTGAAGTAGGATTAGTGTTCACATTGTATATGAGCATTTATGTAATTTATGCATATTTTAAATTTTAGTAGCTATTAATTAAGCTCCTTGGTAGTTACATAGAGGCATACAAAAATAAATAAATATTTCCAATTTCTCTGCATTAGTAACAATCCCAGATTTTGTCATATTTTTCTATTATTGCCACTTGAATACGTATACAATTTTTAAAATCTGCATTCCCTGCTCACTCCTGAAATTGAGTATCTTCTCATAGGCTTACTAGCTAGTGAGGCTTCACTCTATATAAATTGCTTGTTCATTTACTTTACCCATTTATCTATTAGTTATTGATCTGTAGTAATTCTTTATTATTATGAAAGATCAACTTTTATATGTTATGTTAAATATCTGCAATTATCTCATCCAATTCTGTCTCTTAGCTTTAAATTTTTATGCTGTCTCTTGACTTTTAGAAGGCCTCTACTCACTCTCCCCCAGCACCACACAATTTATTGTAATAAAATTTGTCAATCTCTTGTTTTCTTTTAGAGTTTCTGCTTTTTAGTTTCTTTGGCCTTATCTGGGTATCACAAAGATTTTATCTAATACTTTCTCTTAATAGTTTTGAAATTTCCCTTTCTACATATAGAACTTTAATCCAAATGGGGCTTTGTTAATTGTTTTTTGGTTTTGGTGAGTGATTTTAGTAATAATACAGGTGAGATCTAATTTTCCTTTCATCTGGAAAACCAACTAGAGGGATTTCGTCTCATCTTGTTCCAACTAGATTTATTGACTGGTGCATTCTTTCTCTGCTGATTTGTAATGCCATCTTCATCTTATATATTTCGTTTTTCCGTGGATTTTATTTTCTGTTCCAGTGATCTTTTGTCTTTTACTGAACCAATACTCCATTGCTTTCACTACTAAAACTTTATAACATTACAAAAAATAGCACATTATCTTTGTTCTTTTTCAGAAATGTGTTGGCTATTCTTTGACCTTTTCTCTTACACAAGAATTTCATAATTTCTCAAAATCTATGAGTCATATTAGGATTTCATTGAAATTTCATTGAGCCTGTAGATTAATTTGTAAAATCAATTATTCCCATGCATTAACATGGTTGCCTACTATTCAAATTTTCTCATATACCCTTCAATAATGTAATATAATTTTCTTCAGAAAGGTCTTGCATGTCTTTTGCTGCATTAATTCTTATACACATACTTGTTTTTTGTTTCGGATGTTAATACTATCTCTCTACATGGATTTTACAAATAATTATTGTTGGAATATAAGTTATATGTTGTATATTTGAGAGTAGATTTTGTATCTAGCCACCCTGCTGTGCTCTTAGAGTTCTAATAATTTTCAGATTCTTTTGAATTCTATATGTAAAAAATCATGTCATCTGCAAAATCTGATAATCTTGAGTTTCCTTTTCCAATTCTTAAAACCATTTTCTTGTCATAGCTTGGGCTATGTATATCTATGGGTAAAATTCCTTCTCTTTACTTTTGCTTTATTTTTGTTCCTTTTTCTAGCTTGCTGTATGAAACTCTTAATCAATTTCCAGACTTTCTCATCTTCTTTTTTTATTTTATTTTTATATGGGACACCATGAATTTTCATGCCATCCTTACACACGGGCCACGCTAATCTTCTCTGTATCATTCCAATTTTAGTATATATGCTGCCAAAGTGGGCGCTCTTATTTTCTAATATAAGTATCTAAGTAACTTCTAAATGCTGCTGAAACTCATATCCTCATATCCACTCATATCCTCATGACTATTTTTTTACTTCAATTCTACACTCTGATATTAGCATTGTTCTAACACCTTTGTTTTAATTAGTATTTGCCTATTTTTCATCCTTTTATTTTGAACCTTAAAAGTTTGTTTTTGTCTTGTGTCTTTTTTAAATGGCATATTGCTTGACTTTGTTCATATTAACAATGTAAAATTTTCTGTTTCCTAATAGATGAATTTAGTTCATTTTATATTGTGAATTGTTATATGTTTATCTAAATGTTTCCAATTTATATTGTGTTTTCAACTTACAGTACTATGCTCTGTTCTTTCATTTTTAAATCTTCTTTTCTACCTTCTGCTGGTATATTAGAATTCCTTGTTTCTTTTGTTTTACTTAGTGTTTTTCTGGATTTTGTTTTATGTATCCTGATATTTGTAACATGTGTACTATTTAATTTTTCTTTAAAAATTAAAGATAATCGGTATCTTCTTCCAAGACTAGATAATAACTTTTATTTGACCATCTTCCCTCCAAACTACTCTTTCCAAATTCTCCATCTTGTTTGTGGTATTCTTTTTAAAGACAAAATAATTATTTATTTTCACAATTAATTATTACTTAGACTTACAACAATATTTCAGCATTGTTTTTGCTTAACATTATTTGCTACATCCTGTGTCTTTTCTCTTCTATTTCTTGCCCAAATACAATCCTTTACTGGTTCTTTAAACTCTACATGTATGTGAAAAATTTTCTAAGCCTTCATATGGCTGAAAATAGCTTTACTTCACCTTCAGCCTTAAATGAAAATTTAGCTAGGTATAGAATTGAACATTATTTTCCCTCTGTACTTTGAAGATTTATTCCATTTGCTTGTTGTTTATTATTTATTATTGTTGATAAGAATCTATCACTAGTTTGATGTTTGTTCCTAAGTAAATATATTTTCAAGATTCTCTTTATTTTTGTGCTCTGCATTTAATTATAATGTTTATAGGTGTGAGATTAACTTTTTATGAGTGTGAGGTTATCCTGAGCAGGATAAATGAAGTGAATCTCACACCCACAATGGAAAATCCTGAATGCTTCCATTTACTCTGAGCAGGATAAATGAAGTTAATCTCACACTCATAAACATTCAAGAGTTTCCATTCTGTGGACTCAATCTTTCTAATTACAGAAAAATTTAACTTTAATTGCTATGAATTTTGCCCATATTTATATCTATATCTAACAACAAACTGTAGTCTCTACTTCTAAAATTACTATGTATGTAAAGATTTTCCTTCCATCTTTCAGATCTTGTGACTTCTCTTTTATATTTCTTATCTGCACTGATTAAGTTAGCCCCGGATCTTAAAATCTCAGTGGTTTTCCCTAATAGAATTTTATTTCTTACTTATGAGAAGTCCAAAACAGGAATTCCAGATTGGCGGATGGCCCTTCTCTCAGCAGTGTCTTAGGCACTCAAATTCATCTTAACTAATGACTCCACCATCTTCAAATAATGGCTCCTAAGTTCATCATGTTAGTCCACCTTAAGTGAACAGAAAGAAAAAAGCTTGAAGATCATGAGTGGATGACTTTACAAACAAGCCTGGATGACTTTCATATCACTTCTAACAACATTAGATTGGCTAGAACTCAAGCATATAGCCACACCTAACTACAAGGGAATTTTGGGGAAATAGTCAACCACGTTGTATTAGTTTTCTATAGCTGCTCTAACAAATTACCACAAACTTAATGGCTTAAAACAACACAAATTTATTATCTATCAGTTCCATAGGTTATAAATCTGTCATATATGTCTCCCTGGACAACAATCAGGTTGTCAGCAAGACTGCATTCTTTCTGGAGGTTCTAGGAACAAATCTGTTTCCTTGCTTTTTCAGCTTCTAGAGGCTGGCCACATTCCTTGGTTCATGGCTCCCTTCTTCTATCTTCAAAGTGAACAAAAATGAATCAAGTCCTCACATCACACCATTCTGCCCTTCTTCCACTGTAGTACCTCTTTCTCTTACTCTCTTTTATCTCCCTCTCCCACTCTTAAAAATCTTTGTGATTATATTAGGCCCACTCAGATATACCAAAATCATCATCCTATTTTAAGGTCAGCTGATTAGCAACTTTAACTTCATCTGCAATATTAATTCCCTTTTTCCATGTAACCTAACATATTAAACAGGAAGATAATCCCAGGTTCTTACAATGCATGAGGCCTATGGCCTTGATTTCTGCTGGTGATCAGGTGTTTAAGCCTCAGTCCCCCAATAAGGTATCACATGGGTGGTAAAACTTCTCATTCATTACCAAGAATATGGGTTCCTTCTTGATATATTTTTCTTGAATATATTACTTCTCTTTTTAGTTTTCAAGCTCAGCTCTACTTTATAAACTTTAAAAAATACCATGTTCAAAGTAATCACTTAAAGGAGAGGATGAAATATTCCCCTCAATAGCAAGCACCCTTTCAGTAAGCCCCGAGGTTCTAAATACTTTCACTACTTTGACTCTTTAGCTTCTAATATTATTCAAGAACTTCCTGATTTGGTCTCTTGCTATTCTTCATCTCCATAGGGCACAAGTGAATTTTGGAAAGTGGAAACCCCTGTTGAAGCAGTTAGGTGGTAACTGTTTGGTGTAACAAAAAATCTTTTCGAACAAAGGGAAAACAGAAAGAAAATTAAGGAGAGAGAGGAAGAGGTGGAGGAAAGGTAGAGAAGGAAAGAACAGAGCAGCAGAATCGCCAATGAAAGAAGACTTATAGGGACAGAAAAATGTCCTCAGATTGAGAAACTAGCAATCTCCAAAAATATTTTTATTCTCTTACCAAAATTGAAAGACAGGTTGCATAGATCTTGTAGTCCCACCTTACCACAAAAGTATTGGAATCCATATGTAGATATCCAGCTGCTCACCACATTGCATTGCAATTGATACCAGGAAATAAGTTGTGACTCATTTCTATCTTCTTTTCCACAACCTTTCTGCAATATAGTGTCTATGGCATCTAAGTTCTCCCTGGGACAAACAGAACTCATTCTTCTTTTGATGTGTTTTATTTTAGCACTGTCTCGATCAAGTATTGGTAAGTTCCTTTACTTTTCTTCAATTCTGCTGACATTTAGCCCCATTTAGTCAAGAGGATATCTTCCTAAACTTCCCAGACTTCTTCGCTGCAGCACAGCAGAAGCTTAAGCTTCACATTTCTCCAATTTCTTTGTTCTCCATAACCAGACACTTCAATAATCAGTCAAAAGTAAATGCAAGTTTCTAGTGGTTTATTATGATGACATGAAGAGAGCAATTTCCAAACCTGAAGTGTTGGAAAAACAGAGTAAATAAAGGATAAGAGCAAAAAGTTAGTAAGAAAAATGAGGATGAAGATAATATAGAATGAGGGATAAATGATATTAGCTGTGTCCTCAGAATTTTAAAGCTTTACATGGCTAGCACGAAAGGGCAGCCCTCCCTGAGGCATCCCCAAGTCAGGCTGGCAGCAATGGAAGAGATGGCTAATTCCCTATCCCCCTGAGCTGCAACTGACACTAAGGGTTTGGTGCTCCCAGGCGTTCCTGGTTCTGATACTCATTCCTGCCCTGTCCCCTGCAAAAAAAAAAAAAAAAGAAAGAAATGGATAGTTTTTGAGCCAGACAACCACATGAATTTTTTGTTTATATTTACTTTTAGGAGAGCAAGGAGGGAAATTTCATATTTCCAAATTCTAAGTCTCTTTAGTGTGTCACAGAACTAAGGAACATTCCCTAACCCTGCTGAGATTTTGTCCCTCACCTGCTTTTCCTTCCCCATCATTGAGCATTTTGTCTAAAATTAATGAGAACTTCGAAGAATGAGAAGTCCACCGATTAAAGAATAAAGAGAGGATTAAAATGGTTTTAGCTGGCAATCATAGTTTCAGCAAAACAGTAATAAATTCATTAACTTAGGAATAGGAGGGAAGAAGAGAGAGGCTTGTGAAGAGACCAGGGAATGGAAGTAGGGGACAAGGAGAGGTTTGTAATTAAAGCAAGTCATCTTTCTTGACTATTTACAGATATTACACATGAGGAAAAAATGAAATTTAAAGATATTATTTAACTTGACCCAAGGCATATAGCTAGCAAAAGAGTAAAACTGAGGTTCTAAACACTGGCCTTTGGACTCCAAGTCCTGAGGTTGTCCAGCTACCCCCAGGACATCATTAAATGTATTTACTCTTCCAATCCAAAGTATTCTTTGGAAATAAAATGTTTGTTCCAAGGAATTTAGAAAATCATGCATATGTTGAAAATATATTACTTCAATTTTTAAAATGTAATTTGAAAATCTTAAAATGTAAATTAATATAAAATATCAGAATTAGTGTGCTAATCCAATACTGTGCCATAACCTTATCCCATGAATAAGGCTGTTTTGTTGTATATACAACTGTGAACAGGTGCCCTTAGAAAGCTATCAAGCTCAATATTTTATTACTTTTATAATTAAAACATGTTTTATCTAGTTTTACTTTGTTTTCATCTAACTTATGGAAAGGGTAAAATATTTGGGAGTTGAAACATGCTAAACAATAAACTCAAATCTTCAGTTTCTTCAGCAAAATCTGCAGAGGACCCATGTGAGACAGGCTTGCCATAAAAACCCTCCAAAGGGGAAATCATTTAGAGCACTGCAGCTGCTATACCTAAGACAACATAAGTATTTCACAGACAGCATAGATTCTAGTGAGGTAAGACAGAAAATAAACACATAAGCAAACAAATACAATGATTTCCCTTTCTAGATAATTCCTACTATGATTACTAGACTATCATAGTAAATTCTACGGAGAAAACAAATTAAGATAATATGATAGAGCAAGACCAAGAAGTGAGGGCCTTTAGCTAGGAGATTAGAAGAAATTTCCCTGAGGAGATATCTGAACTGACTCTGAATGGCGAAAAGGTGGCAGCCACAGGAGGATCTTAGGGAAGAGTATCTCAGGCAGAAAGAACACCAAGTTCCTGAGAGGGGAAGAAGAGTAGCATGTATGAGAGATTGCAGGAAGGCCAGTTGTGAAAGATCGTGGAGGAGTTTGAAAGGTAGGGAGAGGCCAGATCACAAAAAGTCTTTTAGAATAAAATATGGAGAACAATTCTGAGCACCACAATAAGCCATTGTTTTCATCAGGGAAGGGATAAAGCCACATTTATGCTTTAAAAAGGCAACCCTGGCTTCTGGTAGAGAATGAAATGGGAGAGAATGACCATCATATTTATTTATGATGGCAAGAAGGAGAGAGGTACAGAGTAAAGTCTCATATGTGCTTCAAAGACAACAGGAGTTTCTACTGGAGAAGACTGTTCGGAAACAGCAATGGGGAGCAAAAATGACATTTACCTACATTCAGGCATGTATATGGGTATGGATTTTTTCTAAAACAAACATACAAAAAACCAGACATCACAGCCTCAACAACAGAGTGAGACCCTGTCTCTACAATGAATAAAAAATTAGCCGGCATGGTGGTGTGCACCTGTGGTCCCAGCTACTTGGAAGGCTGAGGTGGGAGGATCACTTGAGCCCAAGAGGTCAAGGCTACAGTGAATTGTGATTACGCCACTGCACTCCAGCCTGGGTGACAGAGTGAGACCCTGTCTCAAAAAAAAAAAATCTAAGAGGGCTGTAAGAGACATGGTTTTTTAAAAATGTTATAATTTTTAATTGACAAAATTGTACATATTTATGGTATACAACATAATGTGTTGATATATGTATACATTGTAGAATGACTAAATCAAGCTGTTAACATATCCATTTCCTCACATACTTTTTGTGGTAAGAACACTTAAAATCTACTCTCTTAGCAAATGTCAAGTATAACACATTATTAACTACGATCACCATGTTATACAATAGATCTCCTGAAAGTATTCCTCCCATCTAACTGCAATTTTGTATGCTTTGAGCAACATCTGAGATACAGTATTTTTTTAAAAAATTGAGATAGAATCTCACTCCATTACCCAGGCTGGAGTGCAGGGTGCAACCTCGGCTCGCTGCAACTCCACCTCCCGGGTTCAAGCGATTCTTGTGCCTCAGCCACCCAAGCAGCTGGGATTACAGGCGTGTGCCACAATACCCAGCTAATTTTTGTATTTTTAGTAGAGACAGGGTTTTGCCATCTTGCCCAGGCTGGTCTTGAACTCCTGGCCTCAAGTGATTTGCCCTCCCCGGCTTCCCAAATTGCTGGGGTTACAGGCATGAGACACCGCACCCAGGCTTGAGATACAGGAATATTAAAGCAAGACGGTGAAGAAAACGTTTGGAGAAGTTAAAGATACAGGAAAATTTGCTGATATGAATTTCAGACAGCATGGTGTGTTTTAGGGAGTAAGGAGAGGTGGAAGGAACGTCCCGATTAGGAATTATAAAAAGCATTATGATAATAAGCATCCTTAAGATGAGGAATTGTCTTTGGATGGTGAGTAAATTAAATGAGGATATGACACATTTTGGGATTAATCTCAAAGGATGATGAGTAATTAGTTATGTAGAGTATTTAGCTGAAAGATGCATAGGGCCACAGGAAGCTATTCATCCCTGAAGCTCAAGATGACGTGTGGTCCTACAGAATGGATGAGGCCCTCTTGAGAGATAATTCTCATAGGCAATTCACTGGACTGTGATAACTCGAGAAAGGGCCTCTCAAACCAGGACCTCAAAGGGCTTGATCCTATTATTTCCGTGAAAATCTTGAACTAGCGTAGTGCCCAAGATAGAGGAGACTATGGTCCATTACCCATACATGTATAAACAGATAAGGACTGCAATCTGAAATGATGATATAATAATATGTGTTGAGCATTATGCTCCAGGCTCTGTCCTAAACATTTTTTCTTCATAATAATCCTAGAAAGTAGATATTATAAATCCTATTTTTAAAATGAATAAACTTAGGCATAAAAAAAAAAAAAACAGGCAGAGTAACACAGCTAGTAAGTAGAGGAACCAGAATTCAAACCCAAGCATTCTAGTAGTTGATGGCCCATTGTACTTAATGAGACCTAATCAAGGGTCCCCTTTCTAAAATGATTTCGGTGAGAATTATATACTTTATAAACCAATTAACTCAGACTGATGTGGATTTTTATTATTATTCCTCAGTGCCAATTCCAGGAACCATATTTCAGTTTATTTTCTATTTCTCAATTTAGGAAAGAGAAATGAGAGCAAACAGATAATAAGAAGGGAGCACATAGGGAAACTAAGGAAAGTTTAATCAAGACTAAGGTCCTCCACCTCCTAAAAGCAAGTAGAGGAAAAAGAAAAAAAAAAAAAAGACTAAGGGCCAAGCATGGTGGCTTACACCTGTAATCCCAGCACTTTGGGAGGCCGAAGTAGGAGGATCCTGGAGGCCAGGAACTCAAGACCAGCCTGGACAACATAGTGAGGCTCTGTCTCTACAGAACAATTAAAAGAATTAGTAGGGCATGGTGGCATGCCTGTAGTCCTAGCTACATGGGAGGCTGAGTTGGGAGGATCACTTGAGCCCAGTAGTGAGAGGTTATAGTGAGCTATGCAACCACTGAACTTCAACCTGGGCAACAGAGTGAAACCCTGTCCCCCCGACCCCAGCCCCCCAAAAAAAACCTAAGGTCTTCCAAGTTCCCTTAACAGTTTCAGTCTTTACAAAGGCTGAGAAGAAAAGGAAAAGGGAATCACCTTCTCTGCTCATCATCAGTCCTACATGTCATTCTGGGCCTCGGCCACACCACCAAAATATAAGATGCCTAAACAATCCATGAAAAAATCACACTACAGCTGGCATAGAGGATTTGATGCTCCCTGGTGAGGGTAGTGTGAGGGATTTTTTTTCTGATCTTCTTTTCAAAGGGGGATTAACGCTGATGCTTTTAAGCAATTGACATGCACTTAGAGATGTGGGTATCTAGCACAATTTACAAGGGAATTGAGCAAGTTCTTGGTTGTTTCAGTACCATAAACGCTTGTTTGTCTAGGGACCTTGTCCTCCTTATTTACCTCTTTCTAGGCAGGCCCTATTTCTAGAAAGTCAGCCTTTTTGCTTCTCCTACCAAAACTTACCCTAAGGCTAAAAGGCCCAAGAACACAGGGCTTTAGTTTGTGAATTTAGCCTCATTGAATCATAAAAGTTGAGCAGAAGAAAAATTATTAAACCCTGTCATTGATCGACTGTTGTGGGGTGGGGGGTGGGGGGAGGGGGGAGGGATAGCATTAGGAAATATACCTAATGCTAAATGACGAGTTAATGGATGCAGCACACCAGCATGGCACGTGTATACATATGTAACTAACCTGCACATTGTGCACATGTACCCTAAAACTTAAAGTACAATAATAATAAAATAAAATAAATAAATAAATTAAATTAAATAAATGCAGTTCCAAAAGATGGTGAGAATTATCAAACTTTGCATAGTCATTTAACAGTCAATGTAAGACAAATAAGACTAATGCCCAGACTTTCTCCACTGAATATAGTGAGGGTTCATTCTATGGTAGCTTGTACAAATTACTATCAAAGTTAATATCATTAAACCTTCTACAAGTCTTGCCCTAGAATTTAGGTTATTTTACAAGAGAAACATTTTAGAGCTGAACAAAAAGAACAGAAACAAAATGTTGGAGAGGGAAGATGGTCAGTACGTTAAAGAAAAAAATGTTTAAGGAATATTCAGAAAGAAGAGAAAATTGTAAAGAATATGAAGGAAAACGTGCTGAACTTAAAGTCAAGCAAACTGGAAGCTAAAACTGCCTTTAATTTTTTGCATATTCAGGCACAGCCCTTCCCTTTCTCAATCTCGGTTTTCTTTTCTTATAAAACTAGAACCTTTGTAACATTGCCTTTCTTTGGTTCTTGAGGCTATCACATTAGGGAAAGAAGACTCTCCAAACTGAAAAGATGAAAGAAAGAGGGAGGGAGAAACGGAAAAGACAGGAGAAAGGTGGTGAATGAAATCAGAATATTGGAAATATAGTAAAGCTGAATATTCCCCTGAAACTTTCACTCCTGCATAGTGTCTAAGGGGGAAAAGACATGGGATCACTTGCAAGTGTGGCCACTTTATGAGCCTACCTACAGGGGAATGGAAAGTCTAATAACCTGAGGGAGGACACTATTTCTGGGAAGACTTTTGGGAAATTGATGGATTATTGAAACTTTAGACTGACTTGAATAATTGTTATTGTTCTTTAGCTTTACCTCAAGGATCCATGAGTAAGTTTATCTTCTTGTTTCAAACTCTGGTGTTGTTGGGCTCCTATGCTAGGCAGAGGACTTCTCCCTGTCTTAACTATTTCCTGTTTCCTGCTATGTCAGGGTGAAAGGGCTTAAGACTCATAATTCTCCACCTTGTCCTTCATTAGCCATCTTAACTGGATCATGCCCACCTTTCTCACATTTCCCCCTCTCTAAGACAAGGAGACCTCCCACCTTGCTTAAGCAAATTATTTTATTCTTGCCTTTGACCACATCCTCTCACCCCCTTATTTCTTCAGAAGTCATTTCTTCTCTCTTCTACATCTTTAAATATTTTCCTTCCTTTAACTGCTTCTCCTTAAGGTATAGAACAGGTTTGATTTTCTTCCATCTTAAACAGATCCTCCCTTGACTATGTCCCTCTCTAATCACAGCCTACCTTCAAGGGAGGAAATTATGCTGTACACTCTGACTGTAGGCTTAGGAAAAAGTTATTGCTCACTTCGTATCTGAACTATACACTATTTCTCCATGAATTGAGAATAATATAATAAGACCTACTAAAAAATCACTTTTAAAATAAATTTGCTTGTTAATTATTTTCAATTTACAGAGGACTATTGCCTAGCAGTTAAGCATGCAGACTCTAGAGCCAGGCTAACTGGAGTTGTATCCCAGCTCCCTACTTACTATTTATTTGAACATAGGCAAGTTATTTAATCTCTCATTAAAATTTCAAGTCCGTTACATAACTAATTTCAACAACCAGTTGAAAATTAATCAAATAAAAGAACAGAGAAGAGGCTGGGCACCATGGCTCACGCCCGTAATCATGACATTTTAGGAGGCTGAGGCAGGTGGATCACCTGAGGTCAGGAGTTCGAGACCAGCCTGCTGAAACCCCGTCTCTACCCAAAATACAAAATTAGCTGGGCGTGGTGGTATGCTCCTGTAATTCCAGCTACTCGGGAGGCTGAGGCAGGAGAATTGCTTGAACCTGGGAGAGGAGGTTGCAGTGAGCCAGGATCGCAACACTGCCATCCAACCTGGGTGACAGAGTGAGACTCCATCTCAAAAAAAAAAAAAGAACAGAGAAGTGAGGGAAGCTGGAAAAAATGAATAGAGAAGGGAGGAAAACCAAAGAGGTAAAGTTTAAATAAACCTTCTGGAACTGATTTCAATTGATTGTCAAAAAAAAAAAAAAAGAACACATTTTCTAAATGAAGGGAAGACTGTGACAGGAATGAGGAGGAGGGAAGTGAGGAAATCGGCAAAAAATCCAAAACAGATAATCCTGACTGGACAGGGTTTTTTTTCTGATCTATGTGCTTTTCCTACAAAAGTTTTCATACTGACTATTACATTTGTGGTTGCATATTAGGGTCACATTTCCTACTAGCAAAGTTGTTTCTTGTTCAAAGATGGAATTAAATATATCATATTTCATTATTTTTTCTAAAAGGTATCAAAACTTCCAGATGCTTCACAATCTGAACAAGTTTATTACTCACAGGTTTTAATTAAATGTGATCCAACCAATACCTATCCTTAAAGTAACGAAAAGGAAGGGATTCACTTGCCCTATCCCAACTCAGGCCACAACCATATGATACTGATTTCAAAGTGCACTGTTGTTGAAGTATAGATGGTGCTCACTTAAATCTCTTCTCATCTGAAAACAGAGCTCCCAAATTAGCCACCACTAGCCCGGTGCCACCTATAGATGTGTTTTGTTTGGTCAGGATGGTATTATTTTAAATTTTGAATTTGAATGCCTCTGGGTAGGGCATGGACTTTTCACCATCTCTATCCCTTATAACTAGCAGATTCACAATCATGAGACCTGCTGGGCCCCTTAATGCAACTGAGTTTGTGATCGATCCCCACAGAGATAATCAGGAATTCTGTCTGGTATGGAAAATGTGGTACTCTCTAAAAGAACTAACTCTGATGCTCCCATTAGGAAGAATATCCACAGAGACAATGTCCTTAATCCAAAACACACAATATTCAGTATTTTGGCAGGATATGTACATCGTAAGTTTTTTTTATCTTCTTCTTTACTCTGTAAGGCAACAAGTAAATACCTTCCACTGCCCTGCTTATTTGTCTTCAGCTGGGAAACGCCACAAAATACTCAGTTCAAGAATTTCCTTTCTTGGCCCAGTATGGAGGCTCACACCTGTAATCCCAGCACTTTGGGAGGCCGAGGTGAGGGGATCACTCAAGGCCAGGAGTTTGAGACCAGCCTGGCCAACATGGCGAAACCCCATCTCTACTAAAAATACAAAAATTAGCTGGGCGTGGTGGCACATGCCTGTAATCCCAGCTACTCAGGAGGCTGAGGCACAAGAATGACTTCAACCCAGGAGGTGAAGGTTGCAGTGAGCCGAGACTGTGCCACTGCACTCCAGTCTGGGTGACAGAGAGAGATTGTCTCAAAAAAAAAAAGAAAGAAAAATTCCTTTCTCCTCATTATTCCATATTACTTTAGGTCAGGAATGGAATATATATGACCTGTGTTACATTTCTGCTCATGCCTTTGCCTGTGGCAGAAATCAGTAATTGATCATGATTCTCTTTCCTGCTCAGCTCACATGTATCCTAAAATTCTTGTCATCTCCAGATAGTCATTAATAATTGATCAAAATTAAATATGCATAACTCAAGTATACTTGTCACTCCTAACATAGGTTAATATCTTAAATCTTAAAAAATTAAGTATATGAAAACTGTCCTTTTAAAATTATCTTTATTTGGTGGTAGGAGTGGCTTCACCTTCTCAAGAAACTGACAGTTCAGTGATTGACGGCCTAAAATACCACATAGAAAAACAGACATCTCTTCCCAAATGCTGAGGGTAGATCCTGTCATTTCTGGGGAAAGCTACTATTTCCCTCCCCAAAACAGCAAAGTAACAAATAAGCGAAAAATAATTATACACAAAGAAGGAAACAAATTATTCAATTATTTTAAGAAAAAAAATTGCAAAATTTTCAACATCTTAAAATATGATTGGTTATTTCTCAAGACAGAAGCAACAGAGATTAAAATGACATAATTAAGGTACTAAGGTACACAAGAAGATAGGGTTGTTTTAAAGATTAAAATAACAGAAATTAATAAATCAAAAATAAAAACAGAATTAAGTGCACATTATAATACTCTGCTGTCAGGACTCAGAACTTTCCAAAGGACAGTCAGAAATAAGAGGAAAAATTAAAGCAGAAAAAAGTAAAATATAAAGTAGCTTACTACTTTGCCGAAGTGTTTCATTCATTTATAGTTACTGAATATTTCTTTCCATAACATTTCTAATACAACTTTTCATCTTTCCCTTCTGTTATTACTCCTGATTTTTCACTGCAACTTCACAATATAGGTAAGACAGAGGACACAACTTCTGTTTTAGAGATGAGGAAATTAATGTTCAAAACATTTAGTGACTTGCCCAAAATCACAGAGCTAGAGAATAGCAAAAGTCGGACTCAGCTCTTTAATCTCAAGACTGTTTGTACCACACCTGAGGAGGGGGAGGAGGGAATGGGATTGTCTATCTCCATGCCTTCTGAAAGTCTAAATCTAAGTAATGTTACACTTTTCAATTTTTATTATAGGTAGTATAAAATGTTTACAAACAACTGAAGAACCTCCTTGTAAGTTTCCCATATATACAACTCAGTCCTTTTTTTACTGACACCTAATAATTGTACAAATTTATGGGATACATGTGATATTTTGATACATGCATACCATGTGTAATGATTTTGATATTCTATAATGTGCCTGCTACCAGAGGAATGGGGAAGGTGGTGAGAAAGCACATAAAGATGGAGGAAAGGAGAAAAACTTGCAATTTTACTGTTCTCTCTTTTACCAGTGTGAGGAATTTGAGACTGATTTCAAGATCCTCTAAGTGACTGATTAATTTTTTCATTTAACAAAGTGGAAATTCTTATAATAAAAACTAGATTAATTAATGAAATTGTGAAAAAGATTCTGGGGCCAGGGAAAATTATCTATAACCTTTAGAAGGATTTGACAGCAGGAAGATAATGAAAATTAAGAATAAGAAAAATAACTGCAGGGAGTATGATTTTAACAGTCTCCTGAGGAAAAAAGGAAAATGCCTACTTACCTTCTTGCTGCCTTTCCATGTAAATCAAATATGTAGTAAATGCTTGATCTGAAACTCCCTGAGATAAACACCCTTGAGTCATGCTCTCTTCAAACTCACCTTTTTTGTTTGTATTTTAGCCAGAACTGCAGGAGCCATGAGTAAGTTCTTTTTCTGCCCTTTAATTCTCATGTGCTTTGCTTTACTAAACTGTTAGAATATGTAAGACACTCATATTCCTAGATTTTTTTATTTCTTTCACAAATTGTCCATTCCTTTCCCCTTGTTTATTCCCTATTCTTATCTTAATAAACTGGGGTGCCTCTGTAAGAAAGTACTATTGCCTTTAACTTTTCCGAAATCTTGAGATTCAACAGCAAAGGGAAAAGAGTGAAGAACAAAAAATGGTCAAGTGAAAGGAAGAAAGATTCCCCTGAGAGAAAACCCAGTAACACTCAAAGAAAGAGGCTTGATGGTGGCCATTCTACTTAAGACCCACCAAGAAAATTTCAGTGACATGCAGTGAGTCCCAGCTCACTGACCGAGGATCCCAGACTGTCACTGATGTTTGTGTGGGATGTATATCCCCTGTTATGAACAAAGAATAAATCTGAAATAAGTATCCAGATAGAATTTTAAATGAAACTGTAGCATATATCTCTGGAAGAAGCACTGGTTGGGAATAGAGAATAAGGAATAAGTGAGAGGAAGTTGATTTAAAAAGGAAAAAAAATGGTAAATGGAAACAATGACTTTTATATGATCTGAGATTTTGCCAGCCCTTTATGGCCTTGATGCTTAAAGTGGGTCCAAGGGCCTGCATCAACGTCACCCTGGAGTTTTAGATATGCAGAGTCTCAGCCTATTGCCCACCCCGACCTACTAAATCAGACTCTGCATTTTAATAAGATTCCCAGGTGATTTGCGTGCATACCAAAGTTTAAGAACCATTGCTCTACAGGATTTTAATTCTCTGCCCTGAGAGAGGAAATAAAAAGATGAATGCACTTGGTCCAAATTTAACCAGCTTTTCCAGCCCTGCAGATTCCCCACACCAAGAGTGACCTTAAAGCCAAAGACAAGAAAGATGAAACTCATCAGGGTTTCATTCACTTCTTAACACATTTCTATCCTTCATTTTTGAGGATGTTCAGAGCTTGAGCCCCTGAGACAGGACTAACTCTGAAGGAAGGAGAAAAAAAGTGATTTGATAATTAAAGCTCATGGTATATCACATCCTGTGTCTACTCCTCTTGGATTATTTACACAAATGGAACATTATTAAAATAATCAAGTCAAACTTTGAGAGCAAATACTGGGTAGGTATCATAAAAGCACATATTAGGCCAAGCACAGTGGCTCATACATGTAATCCCAGCACTTTGGGAGGCCAAGGTGAGAGAATCACTTATAGCCTATGAGGTGTAGAGAGGTGTGGTGGGGTGTGTGTGTGTGTATGTGTATGTGTGTGTGTGGTCATAAAGAAGAAGACTGTTACTGCATTATTAACAAGTATGTGGGTCTAGTGTCTCAATTCCTTTGCCCAACACTCATACCTATAAATGTCTTAAGTCAACCTAGCAGTTTCTATTCCCTTTTACATGGCAGGCCAAGTTACTCTGTTGAATAAGGGCCAAAATCACTACAGAGACAGCAATTCCCACTGTCTCCTTCAGATGAGGCTATAGATTCTAGCTAAGCAAGTTCAAATTAGCCAGCTGGAAGACAGGCAATGGCCTGTGTAATCTCCTGAGATACAAGCAGGACACCCGTGGGGAAAGGGGAAGGAACGCTGCCTGACCAAATGTGCGTCTCCACAGTTCCAGCTGGCAGATTCCACCAGTAACCGGGATCCTCCAAGATGAAGAAAGAAGCATTTATAAACTTAATTTGTTCCTCCACTGAAGTGGAAATTTTGCTCCTGGTGTCTACATTTGTGATGTTTTCCCAGGAAGAATTTAAATGCAAACAGTATTTTCTCATTAGTTCTATTTTGTTTTTTCCATATTTTAACTGGAACTATTAGACCTATAAGTGAGTTCCTTTTCTGTTTCCTCTAATGTTCTTTGGCCTTCTGTAGGATATAGGGTCCTCTCCACATCCTAACTGTTACCATTTCTACCCCTGCAGGATTTCTCACTCATACTTCTTAATTGTATTCAAATCTTCTGACACCTTCTGATGCCCAAGCAATCAGACACAATATCCTGAATTGCTACTGAGTTTAGGACAAGGGAAAGCCAAATAATTCATGTTTAAAACTGTAGTTTATTTTAATTATTTATATTTATTATTTTTAGTTACTTAAATTTCTCATTTAAGATGGATGCTGAATGATTTGATCTGGTAGGAGGGTTATGCAGCTTCCAGGCTAAGATCATCTGCAGTCCCACAGTAGTTGTTCTCCTCTGGTTGAATTGCTTCATAGTTTCTTTAGAAACAATACTGGTAAAATGAAAATTCTATTAATGTCAAACCACACTTTCCTCCTTTTTGTATTTCAGTGCAATTCACAGCCCCTATTCGTAAGTATCAAGTTTGTTTTTCCACTCTGGTCCCTTTGATATCTGACCTACAAGGTCTTGGGGCCTGATCTGCCCTGCATTTTTAAAAATAATTTCAACTTTTATTTTAGATTCCGGTGGTGCATATGCAGGTTTGCTAATGGGTATATTGTGTGATGCTGAGGTTTAGGGGTGACTTGCTTTTTTAACACTGTCTTTCTCAACTCCCCTGGCATTCCTATTACATAGTTTCCAAAGAGGCCATGCACGAAGTGTTAAGAAATCTCACAGGCTAACATTTAAAAATATAAACCAAAACAGCCCTCTTAGAAATAGTCATAATGATCCATCAGCAAGGGAAGGTACACCTTTCAAATAAACCATGTCTCTAAGGAAACTAGGGGCAAGGGGCAAGAAAATGTAAGAAGAAAAATAGAGGCATAACAGATTAATATGGAGTGAGTCTTTCCCAACCCTCTGAAGATTTTCAACCATCACTGAAAGCAGGAGGAGGCCTCCATTCCTGTAGGTCCCTTATATTGTGCAGGGAGCCTGCCTGAGGCTCGCCATACAAGCAACTCTTGATCTTCCCGTTGTTTCTATTTATGATACTCCCTAGAGCGAGTGTTGGGAAATGGAAATTTCCTTCACAGTGGTGAAGCATACTGATATCTTTTTCTTTCTCCCTCTTTCTCTCTCACAGCCGGAGCTACAGGACCTATCAGTAAGTTTGCTCTCTGATTCTCCACAGTGAGCATTTTACTTTCCTGCAGTATCTTAGGGATCGCTACCTGGTTTCCATGTTGGGATTTCAAGGGTTTGGAGTTCACATTTTCTTCAACCCTTATTTTTCTTCAACCTAGCATTTCAGTAAGTCATGATTAGCTGTGTGAATGTACACCTCACCAATAAAAACAAACTACAAAGTGGAGAATGAAACCTTGCAGATTTCCAATGGCTTCTCAGCATCACACAAGGGATTTTTAGATGAGGAGGCCCTTATATGTACTAGTTTGCCATAGCAAGAAAGTCACCATTTCTACTACTCAACTGCAGCTGAACTTGACAATAGTGATGCAGATTCCTACTAGGGAAAGTATACAAATTAAAGTATATAAATAAAAAGTATATATAAAATATATATATAGCTACTGATTTCTTTTCTCTTTTTTTTTTAGAGCTCTCTCAAAAAACCATTGGTAAGTCATCTGATTCTCAATTATAATGCCTTTTAGTACTTTACTTAGAACATCAATCTATTTTTATTTCAATTATTCATGCCCAAGGACTCAAGGATCAAGTCCTTCTGCCACCTCATAATCTCACCCAGTACTCCAGATTGGACTCATCCAGGTTCTGCAATAAAAATATATTAACTATGAAGCTGAAATGCAAAGTGAAAAATATCCTGCTAGAGATGGTCCTAAGCTGTTTCCACTTCAGCATATAATCTAGCTCTGTAGAGCCAATACTTAATAAAGACTTAGAACCCAGCACCTAAACTTCCTGCTGTGCTTTCCATGCAAATAATTTTTCCATTATTAGATTATCTTCACTTTGTAAAATAATGCAAATTTTAAGTTTCCTTTCTTTATTTTTTTTGAGATGGAGTCTCGCTCTGTCATCCGGGCTGGAGTGCAGTGGCATGATCTCCACTCACTGCAAGCTCCACCTCGTGGGTTCAAGCCGTTCTCCTGTCTTAGCCTACCGAGTAGCTGGGACTACAGGCACCCACCACCATGCCCGGCTAATTTTTTTGTATTTTTAGTAGAGATGGGGTTTCACTCTGTTAGCCAGAATGGTCTCGATCTCCTGACCTCGTGATCCGCCCGCCTCAGCCTCCCAAAGTGTTGGGATTACAGGCGTGAGCCACTGCGCCTGGCCTTCCTTTCCTTTCTAATTGCCCTGAAAAGTTCTCTCCAGAAGAGTTAGGCTCTATTTTCAGCAACTTTTAGCAACCTAGTCACATTCTTTGAGTGATCCCTATAATGTCTTACTACTGTTTTTTTAACCCTCGCGTACATTACTTTGTTGCATCTAAACAACATTCAAATGGCAATGAGTAAGGCAGTTATTATCCCCATATTTAGAGATGAGGAAACTGAGGGTCAGGAGTCATTTCTCAAAAAAATAAGAGGATGGGTTAGTTAATAAAATTAAGACTGAAGTTTTACTAACTCTTCATTCTTTCCACTATCATTTTTGGGTGTTATAACAGGTTATTAACAATGAATAAAATGAAGTTCTAATATTGAGATTAAAGGGTAGTAAAGGCCTAGAGGAGAAAAAGTGAGAGAATGAGTAACACAAATAATAACAGATACAGAATGAAGATGCAGTTTAGAGAGAGATAAATAGGAGAAAATTTAAAAAGAACAAAAGTAGGAAGAAAATTGGAAGCAGAAAGAGTAAGTGAATTGGCACATAAGAGAATAAAGAAGGGAAATGAGTATGTTGAGAAAGAGAATAAAAATAAAGGTACAAAAAGTCACAAATTGAAACTGGAAAGGAAGGAAGAAAATATAGAAAAACTGAAGAAACAAAATTTTGAAGTGATCACCTATCCAAGGATTTAGTAACTTATGTCAAGAGGGCAGGTATCATAAGACTTCTACTTCAGAATCAAAGATACATATTTGTAGATACAGGCAAAGCAACTATTAAGTTAGCATAATATCTAAATGTGTAACTGGTTTACTGCTCATAGCCAAGGGTATCCAGATCTGGAAAGCCATCTTCCAGGTGTTTTACACAGGAAAAAAAAAATTCAGAGTTAAAAGTTCGAGGATTATTGATCAAAATGTGGATATTTCTCATTCTGAGTGACACTGAAGTGAAGGATTATTAACTGCAATGCCCACTGGGTGAAGATATGGTCTTTTTAGATTCAACTAACCACGCAGACTTAGAAGATTACCATAGCTCTCATCTGGGAACAGTCTACTCAGTAGGACCTAAGGGAGGAAGCACAGTTTGCCAGCAAGGGCATTAACAGCTATCCCTCTGCTGTGGGAGTAGTACTCGCCATGATCTATGCAGGTGTCCACATAGCCACCTAGGACCTATTCTGTTTGGCCTTCTGTCAGTTGAGTTGGGAGCTGACCTAGCTTAGAAACCCCACAGATCCACCAGGAACTAAAATCTCCTATAAGAACCCCATACACATTACCTGCAGGGATCCCGTAAGGAATATGACCAAATACATGGGTCACTACACTCAGGGAAGCCCAAAGTTATGGCTTCTTAATACATATTTACAATTCTCCCAGTTCAGATGCAGTCTAACATCAAGGATCATTCTTATGTAAGCAGTGTTGCTAAATAACATAACAGGCTTTCGGCTGGGTGCAGTAATCCCAGCACTTTGGGAGGCTAAGACCAGGGGATCACAAGGTCAGAAGTTTGAGACCAGCCTGGCCAATATGGTGAAACCCCATCTCTACTTAAAAAAATACAAAAATTAGCTGGGTGTGGTGTCGTGCGCCTGCAGTCCCAGCTACTCAGGAGGCTAAGGCAGGAGAATCGCTTGAACCCAGGAGGCAGAGGTTGCAGTGAGCCGAGATCATGCCACTGCATTCCAGCCTGGGCGACAGAGTAAGACTCCGTCTAAAAAAAAAACAACAACAAAAAAAACATAACAGGCTTTCGATATTTATCAGGTCACCAGGCGATCAGAGCTAGAAAATCAACTGAAGGCCAAATTCTCATTAAAAACTGAAGGTTTTGGCCAGGCATGGGCTCACACCTGTAATTTCTGCACTTTGGGAGGCTAAGACAGGAGGATCACTTGAGACCAGGAGTTCAAGATCAGCCTGAGCAACAACAGAGCAAGACCCCATCTCTACAAAAATTTTTTTAATTAGCCAGGAATAGTGGCATGCAGCTGTAGTCCTAGCTACTCAAGAGGCTGAGGTGGGAGGATCACTTGAGCCCAGGAGGTCGAGACTGTAGTGAGCTAGGATTGCACCACTGCATTCCAGCCTGGGTGACAGAGTGAGACCTTATCTCAAAAAACAAAACAAAACAAAACAAAAAAAAACAGAAGGTTTTGTTGACTCTTTGCTCACAGACTCTAAAGCTAATCAAAGCAGCAGTCACTGCTCTATCACTCTCCAATAAGCTGGAAGCTGTGAGAAGAAGAAACTAGATTCTTACCTCCTATTCTAATGTCTACCTCTGGAACATATTAGTTGATCAGAAATAAAGATTTTAGTGAAAGAACAGTCCCTTGAGAAAGAAATATCTTCTACTCTTACTGACGGGAAGTGTTTCACCTTTCCCTACCATCAGTAATGTTAATACCTAATAACAAAGTTTTGCCTTTCCCTAGTATCCCTTAGGTTGGCAAGGATCCTATAAAAACCTTCACCTTGGGCTGAAATATTGCAGTAAATGCTAAATATCCTTTTTCCTTTTTTCTATAGTTAATATAGTTGGATTAAGTCTCCCTAATGATCTCATAACTGATATCACTTCCTCTCCCCTGCTCTACCTCTCAAAGCCTCACTTCTAGGATAAAATTAGTGAAAAATACACTCTCCAAATAACTGTACTAATATGCCAATTTGAATTTCTTTTTAGTGCAAACTCTAGGACCTATTGGTAAGCTGCCTGTATATATCAACTTATCTCTACTGGCTTCTTACTATGTCTGAAGGAGACTGGCTCCAACTGTTTAAGTATCTGGGTTAAAGAAGCTGAAAATCATATTTCTTAGACTTTCATTTCCCCATATCGTAACTGTTAGGTTTTGGAGGGAAGGCGAGGGTTAAAGAAAAGACACAGAGAGAGTGGCGGCTGTACAGCAAATGTAGGCTTTATGTCCAGCATAAGACCTACAGAAGTGGGGAACCAGCCTAATGCCAGTGCCCACTGCTGCTTACAGGCGGGGGTACTTATAGGTATAGGCGGGAGGGGTCTGGGTAGTATGGCTTGCTGGCCGGCAGGATATTGATAAGATGTTCCCATGATGAGGGGGTTCTGGCCCTTGTTCCTGCAGAATGTAGTGTTCCTTGCACTTTCTCCCAGCTGAATATGACAGGGATGTTTCTTTAGTTGGCCCTTTGTCCACCTTGTGTTCAGGTGGTTAGGCAGAATGTTTCTCACAGCCCGAACCCCCGTGGAATGTTTCACTTTTACCAAGGTCTTCAAATTGCTGGAGGCTTACAAAATGGTGCAGTTTGGATTAACACTAACCATCTCTCTGGGCAACCAATTATATTTTAGAAAATGGAAATTCCATTACCTTAAAATTCATAATAGATAGGCATTGTTCTAATAATGATTATAGTGGCTTGTCAGTAATCATTAGAATAACTTCCTAAGGCAAAGGTGTAATCGAATCTGGAAAAGAATATAAGAAATGAACAAGAACATAAAGATAGCTGAGAGTGAAACAGAGTGATCTGAGGAAAAACACTGGGGGAATATGGAAAGGAATACAATTAAGGATCTCATCTCCAACACCTATAATGAAAAGCAAGAATGAAGTGGTTATGCTAAAACAGGGTTAATAATCTCCTAAAAGAAGATCTGGTTCTTATGGAGAGGCTAGAGTACAGCAGCAGTGCAGTGAAAAATATTTAATCCTGAATACTTAGATTTAGTAATTCCTGAGAAAATCATTTTCACTGCTTGCCTTTGGAAAATATCACTAATAGAGGTGTTTTGGGGCCAGGCGCAGTGGTTCACACCTGTAATCCCAGCACTTTGGGAGGCCAAGGATCACCTGAGGTCAGGAGTTCGAGACCAGCCTGGCCAACATGGTGAAACCCCATCTCTACTAAAAATACAAAAAATAGCCAGGCATGGTGGCGGGCACCTGTAATCCCTGCTACTCAGGAGGCTGAGGCACGAGAATCCCTTGAACCCAGAAGGTGGAGGTTGCAGTGAGCCAAGATCACCCTACCACACTCCAGCCTGGGCGAAAGAGTGAGAGACTCTGTCTCAAAAAATAGAAGTGTGTGTGTGTGTGTGTGTGTGTGTGTGTGTGTGTGTTTAATTTGTTTGTTTCTATTTTTTAGTACAATATCCTGGATCCAATGGTAAGTACCTTATCTATCCTTCTCCCTCCAGGTTCCTTGATCTTCTACAGTGTCTAGAGGGCCTGTTCCCTGTCTCAAATGCCCTAGATGTGTCTCACTGCCATAAGAGCAGTTATTTTACACATGTTTTTATGCTTCCTGATTTCAACCTACTGAGAATTCTCCAGGGCTATTTTTTTTAAAAGAAAAAGAGTAAGAAAATGTCCCCAGAAATAGTCATAATGTCTTCTATAACAATATACAAGAATTTTCTAAAGTAGCAGAGAGAGAATAATAAGGGCAGCTTTCCAGTTCTGAAGTGCTTTGTAGTTTCTAAAGGGCCTACTCAAAGATAATGGAGGAGACAATGAGGAGGAAATGAGAAAAGAAAATCAAATTTTAAGAATAAATACAAAAGGGAGAAAAGACAACAAAATTTAACAGGAAATACTATGCAGGGTCTAGTCTAACCTGAGTTCTCCAGTCTTCTCTCCAAAGGCCTTTCTCTTTCCTCATGTCCTATCCGGCTCACTATCTCCAAACATCCCCAACACACGTGCGCGCGCGCACACACACGCACGACAAAGAGAGAGGAAAAGAAAGATAGGACAGAGCACCTCATGGAACAGGATATAACAGTAATTGGGCTGTAATTTACAGGAACTGGCAGAAGCATCACATATGGAAGAGAATAAAGTGAAAGTTCATATTGTGACGAGCTAGGGAGAAACTGGTGTTAAAATCTAGGGCATCGAACCAACCCCAGGACACGGGAAATTCTGAATCTAGAAATTAAGGGATAGCATTAGAAAGTTTAAGTCAAGCAGGAAGAATTATCAGAGGGCAAGTCACATATATTCAAACAAACATTCCTTCATCTAGCTGAGCTCCTACCATGTATCTGATACTAAGCTGAGCACTGAGGATAAAGTCATGAATAAGGGAGAGAAAGATATGGTTGGTCACTGACGCCATGGAGTTTACAGTCCTATAAGATAACTTGGGAAAACAAACCCAAAATGTGTAGAGGGCAGGCAGCATCCCACACAACCACACTACGACCATTAAAACTGGATATTTACTGCCCTGAATTCTGGTTCTAACTATCCTTTTTGTGAATGAATAAGAGCCATTTGTTATTGACTATTCCCCTGAATCAAGACTGCTTTTCTCAGTATTCACAGATTGCCAAGACTTATAGCCTTGGAAGTTCTCATAATTATTACAGGGAGGATAAACATAAGCCAGCTCACCTCAGAGGATCTCACTGGGGCTAAAGGAAGGGTCACATCTGGTCCACAGTTCCCTAATAGCCACCATGTGCCAGAGAATCTACATGGATACATGAATTCCCTTTCCCTTTTCTCCCCTGCTTGACTCCCTCTCCCTTATGTGTAAACAATTTAAAAATATGATAGTGTATAAATGAAAAATATATTGCTATTTTATTCCTTTCTAGCTTTCCCCTAAGTTATAAGCGATTTGGAGAAAGTGCAAAATGAACTGATTAAAATTTAAATGACTTTAACAAAAATTAGTGGCTCGCAACAGCCCTAGTAAAGAAGAGTAGGAAGAAAGCTTTTCAAGTCAATAAAAATTATTGGGTGGAATATTCACTATTTGGGTAATGGGTACACTAAAAGCCCAGACTTCACCACTATGCCATATATGACATAAGAAATCTGTACTTGTACCTCTTAAATATAATTAATTAATTAAAAGGTTAGTGAACAAGAGTGACTAAAGAAAATGAGGCCAGGGCCAGGCATGGTGGCTCATGCCTGTAATCTCAGCACTTTGGGAGCCCGAGGCAGGTGGATCACGAGGTCAGCAGTTCGAGACCAGCCTGACAAACATGGTGAAACCCCGTCTCTACTAAAAATACAAAAATTTGGCCAGGCAAGGTGGCTCATGCCTGTAATCCTAGCACTTTGGGAGGCCAAGGTGGGTGGATCACTTGAGGTCAGAAGTTCAAGACCAGCCTGGCCAACATGGTGAAACTTCGTCTCTACTAAAAATACAAAAAATTGGCCAGGCATGGTAGCGCATGCCTGTAGTCCCAGCTACTTGGGAGGCTGAGGCAGGAGAATCACTTGAACTTGGGAGGTGGAGATTGCAGTGAGCCGAGATCTCACCACTGCACTCCAGCCTGGGTGACAGAGTGAGACTCTGTCTAAAAAAAAAAAATACAAAAGTTAGCTGGGCGTGGTGGTGCACGCCTGTAATCTCAGCTACTCAGGAGGCAGAGGCAGGAGAATCGCTTGAACCCGGGAGGTGGAGGTTGCAGTGAGCCGAGATCGTGTCACTGCCCTTCAGCCTGGGCGACAGAGCGAGACTCTGTCTCAAAAACACACACAAAAAAAAATGAGGCCGGGCGCAGTGGCTCACGCCTATAATCCCAGCACTCTGGGAGGCCCCGTGGGCCAGATCACTTAAGGTCAGTAGTTCAAGACCAGCCTGGCCAACATGATGAAACCGCGCCTCTATTAAAAATACAAAAATTAGGCCTGGCACACTGGTGGCTCACGCCTGTAATCCAGCACTTTGGGAGGCCAAGGTGGGCAGATCACGAAGTCAGGAGATGGAGACCATCCTGGCTAACACAGTGAAACCCTGTCTCTACTAAAAATACAAAAAAAAAAAAATAATAATAAGTCGGGCATGGTGGCGGGTGCCTGTAGTTCCAGGTACTTGGGAGGCTGAGGCAGGAGAATGGCATGAACCCAGGAGCCAGAGCTTGCAGTAAGCCGAGATCACGCCACCGCACTCCAGCCTGGGTGACAGAGCAAGACTCCGTCTCAAAAAAAAAAACCTACAAAAATGAGCCAGACTTCGTGGCAGGTACCTGTAATCGCTTGAACCTGGGAGGCAGAGGTTGCAGTGAGCTGAGGTCATGCCACTGCACTCCAGCCTGGGCAACAGAGCAAGACTCTGTCTCAAAAAGAAAAAAAAAAAAAGAAAAAGAAAATGAGACTGACAAAAGTACATATAAGTTTAAGACATTATGAACCTCTAGAAGTGTTTCAAGCATCTACTGTCCCTAAATGAAATGAGAAGGAAGAACAAAGCCTCACTTTACCACTTTATAGCCAATCTCCTGCCTCAGACCAGCAGAAACAGGTCTGAGGCTACAAAGCACAAAGTAAGGCACGTAAGGCCGGACATGCACTGAGCTGTCAGATTTTAGGGCCCCCCATATCCTCTCTGCAGTTACCCTCTTTAAGCCTATCAAGGGAGAACTGAATTCACTTGGTTCTACACATGTTGATTTCTCCATTTTGTGTTCCTTCCGTTTTTTACCACCAGATGAAACTTCAGAAATGACTGGTTAAGTTCCATGTCTATTGTATGATAGCTGCCTTTGGCTTCCTATAGGGCCTGGCATACTTTTCCTCTCTGCTCATTTCTGTCTTGTGTGTGTAGAAACTCACATTTCTTCATTTCTTTTGCTTATTCCTCTATTTAGCTGCTGCTCCACTCCTATAAGGAATGAATAAAGGAGAATACCAAACCCAAAATAGAGAGATAAAGTTCGGAAACTACCCAAAGTTTATAGTGACTTGTCAACAAGGGAAGGGAAGGATATTTGTATGAATAAATGAAAGCTTTCACAGGATGGCAGAAATAGGGAGAAGAAAGGTAAAGGCAGCACAGTTTAAAGAAATTACCAATCCCCTGCAGGATTTCCAGCAGTAACCACTCACTGCAAAAAGGGAAGAGATCAATCATCTCCCTTTCCTGCAGCCTCCTATACTAAGCAGAAGGCAGAATCCCCACAAGGCATGATGGCAGGTATATTCCCCAGCACAGCGCTCTATGCCCCTGCCCTAAGAAGGATGATTCTTCCATTGCCATTTCTGATATTTCCTTTCAGGAAAGTAGTACGAAAACTAGCTCCTCTTTCAGCAGGCTGTACACGTTGATTTATCTTTGTTTTTCAGCTACAGGATCCTCTTGTAAGTTTGACCATTTCCCTTCATGAGTGAAACTCAATTATCTCCAGCAGTGTCTAACATATCTTAAGCCAAAATGTATGCATCCACATTGTGATATGATAATGTTCCAATTTCCTTGGTCCCTTATTTTTCCATTACTCAGAACACAAATATATATTTTTTTCAGTGTCACGATCAGACTATTACATTTAGCAATAAACAGCATGGGTGCAAAAAAAAATCTACATTAAAACCCTTTGTCGGAATGCTTTACACTTTCCACAGAACAGAAACTAAAATAACCTGTTATACAATTAGTCACAAATACAGTCCTCGAGTTTTTTGCCCATACACATGAGTATTTGTCTAAAACATGTCTTCTTTGTACCAGCTAGGCCCTGCCACCACTGTGCTTGGCTGAGTTCACAAATCTGTTATAACCTGTAGCTTCCCTGTCACTTCTCTGGCTCTCCTCTCCTGCTAAGCTTTGTTTCCTAATTAAAATCTTCTGCGACTGCCATAGCTACTGCTGCTACTGGAACCACAATAGCCACTTTGGTTTCATGGTTTGGCAAAGTATTGGCCTCCACCACCATAGAGGCCACAGCTTCTGCCTCCAAAGTTTCCTCCCTTCATGGGTCCAAAATTTGAAGACTGATTGTTGTAATTGCCAAAATCATTGTAGCTTCCACCACCTCCAAAATTGCTCCCATCATTACCAAATCCATTATAGCCATCCTCACTGCCACCATATCCACCACCACCACAGCTGCCACCAAAGCCACCACAACCACTGAAGTTTCCTCCATGATCAAAGTTGTCATTCCCACCGAAACCACCTCCATGACCACCACCTAAGTTTCCAGAACCACTTCGACCTCTTCGGCTGGATGGAGCACTAGCCATCTCTTGCTTTGACAGGCTTTCCTAACTTCACAGTTGTGTCCATTCACACTGTGGTATTTCTGAATGACAGTCTTATCCACGGAGTCATGGTCATCAAAGGTTACAAAGGCAAATCCCCTTTTCTTGCAACTGCCTCGGTCAGTCATGTTTTCAATCACTTCAATTTTTCCATACTACTCAAAATAATTTCTTAGGTGATTTCTTCAGTGTCTTCTTTAATGCCACCAGCATATATCTTTTTCACAGTTAAGTGGGCACCTGGTATTTGAGAATCTTCTCTTGAGACAGCTCTGTTTGGTTCCACAGCTCTTCCATCCACCTTGTGTGGCCTTGCATTCACGGCTGCATCCACCTCCTCCACAGTGGCATATGTGAAAAATCCAAAGCCCCTGGAGTGCTTGGGTTTGGATCTCTCATGACCACACTGTCCGGGAGTGTCCCTCACTGCTCAAAATGGCTCCTCAGGCTCTCATCAGTTGTTTCAAAGCTCAACCCTCCAATGAAGAGCTTCCTCAGTTGTTCTGGCTCTTTAGGAGACTCTGACTTAGATAAGACGGCCAGGAGAAGAGAGACTTTAATGATGCTTCTTCCGTGGCATCCATGGGCAGAAAGGCATAAATAAATTATTAATAAGTTTCTAGAACATTCACTGACTCGCATAAAAAATAAAGACCTGAGAAAAAAGTTTTTACATGACTCTAAAGAATGTTAGGAACTTTCCATGCAGAAGGAAAAAAAATGACAGAAAAATGATATAGATCCATTTCTGCTTTCTAGATAAGTCATCTATACAGGCAATTAGTCAGTTATTTATTTGTTTCTCTGTGGTGCACTTATCAAAGTCCACTGATGTCTATTGGAACTTGAGTTGCAACATGGAACTTGAAGTTCTATTTTCTCAGCCTTTTGTTTTTCCATTATCCAGAATTCAACCAGCTGATAATTAGTTTTCTGGAAATTTCTAGTGCCTTTGATTAAAAAAAAAAATGTTCAAGCAAGTATATCACTAGTAAATTTACCAATAGAAAAAAAAATGAGTAGGAAAAGAAACAAGAAAGGGGTAACAAAAAGTATCTTTGCTTGTTTTTCAGTCAGATCGCATCCTCACACAATCAGTAAGTCTATGTGTTCATTGAATTCTCTCCTTTAGGACTCAGTTGGTCTCTAGTGGAGTCCAAGAGTCTTTATCTGCCCATATTGGGATACAAAGGGCTTGAGATATATCTTGGCCTCTTGCTGTCTCATTATCAAAACCTCTCTGCATTATTCATGATGTACTGGAAAGTTTTAAGACTATCAATTTACAATCCCCTGCAGGATTTCAAGCAGTTACCAGTCACTGCAAAAAGGGAAGAGATAAGTCAGAGCAGAGAAAAAAATTTTACAAAATTTCAAAGCCCATCAACAAGAGACTACCTTAAAAAGGGAAAAAATGGTAGGAGAGAAAGGAGTAGATAAGAAGTTTCTGTAACCCTTTTTCATTTGAACCTCCTGCCATATCTGGTCTCTTTTTTCCACATTTAAATTCCAAAACATCTAAGAAAAATTTGTATCACCTTTTAGAGACTTTAGAGGATTTAAGCCTAAACTTTAAATAACAACTTTAAGTTGTTATTTCCTCCGTGTTTTGCTTTCATGTGACACATCATTCTCTCACCTTTTAAATAACTCTATGGAAAAAATCAAACTTACTATTTTATTAAAAAATAAAGGGCAGGGGAGAAAGTTTATCAGCAGGTCAAAATGATATATTACAAGGGACTTAACAAACTGAAAGACAATTTGAGCAATGGGGAAAGAAAAAGGAGATAATTGTTTCTGGTCTAGTTGCAAGCTGGATTCATTTCACTTGCCATCAGTATGTCCATGTTTTCACCACCGTAGGATTCTGGAATCTCTCCTTTCCCTAGTACAGCTAAGATTTCCAGGCTTGGGGTGCATACTACTTTAACCACTTACTTTCCTATCATCAAAATTCCATGAAGTTATTAATGATTTTTTGAAAGTTCACATTCTGCTGATTCATATTAAAAATAAATGAATACCAAAGGGAAAGTTTTCCCTATTGTTATAATGACCTACCAAGAAGAAACTCTCTACATAGAAAGGAAAATATCATGGGAGAAAAAACAGTTGCTAAGATACCTCTCTGTTTTTCAGCTGGTCCACCTTCAGCACCCCGCGGTAAGTTCCATTTCTTTTTCTACTCTTTTCTGTTGTTGTTCTTGTTGTTCCCTGCAAGGCTTAGAGACCTGTCTCTACCCTGCTCATTTCTAACTCTGTGTGCAGCTACCTGACTCAAAGCTTCCAGTTTCCTCTGCCTTCTGCTCATCCAGCTTCTCCCTGAGAAAGAAGTTATATTTACATAATTTCAAACATATATTTACTTTGTATCTCCTCTAGAACTATTTAAGTGCTTTAATTACATTACCTCATTTAATCCTTAGAATAATTCCACCAATCCCTTTGTAAGAGATAAGAAACTGAGCCAAATACTTACTCAAGAATACATAGTCATAGAATCATAATTTAGACCCAGAAAGGTGTCCAAGTTTCTCCCCTACACAAATATACCTCCCTAGAGGGAACCTTGTTTCTTTCAAAGAAATCTTCACCAATATCTAATTTGGTTTTTAGGTCCACCCATGGCACCCATAAGTAAGTATAACATCTCTTTTTCTTCTTTGGTTCTCTATGGTCCCCTTCATTTCACTTCTGTCAAAGTGATTTGAGTTTCCCATTCTTCTCTTGCTTCCTTATTACCCTGCTTGCCCTATAATTTTTTTAAAATACTAATTAAAAGTGGGACTAAGCTAGCATTCATCAACAATAAACTGAACAATACTATGAAATAACAAGTAGGAGGAATTTTCAGGGGGGTGGAGAGAGAAAGAGAGAGAGAGATGAAATCCAAAATGATGTCTAAATGGAGAGAAACCTTCAGTGTTCTTTCAAACATTATAGTGCAAGGATCCAGTGGTCTTTTCCCAACACTATGCCCAAAGCTGTTCAGGTCCAATAAGTGGAGAGGGCCTTTAAGGAAACTCTACCTTTGACTTCGTCATTACATCATCACTGCTAAATCTTACATCTAGTTTTGCATTATAAAACTAATCTAAAACCAAATAATCTATAGGGTGGTTTGGAATACCTCCTTCACTGCCCACCCAAGTCCTCCCCTCACAGACTCCAGCAAAATATATTAGATAATACTATGTGTTTTCTATTTGAGAAAAATTAAATGGATTTCTGTTTGCTTATTTTTCAGTAATTTCACAGAGAACCGCAAGTAAGTACTCTACTTCTCAGCTGGTCATATGTGGGGACTTTTCTTATCTTAGTTGTTTCTATTTCTAAGTGCCTCATATTTCTCATATTCATTTGCTTCTACATTACCCAAAGTCTTCAAGATTAGGACTGCAAGTCAACCTTTTTGATTCGTAACTGTAGTATTTCCCATTATTTTAGTTCTAAACTCAGCTTCCAAGGTAACACATACCAACAGTGACTCAATATTTAAACCAGGTCAAGCACTAACAATGATGATATTTAATATAGAATTCGTGAAACCGCCTTTCACACTATGTCCTACCTTTCCAAAATGCAAATTTGGTTCTCATATCTCAGTTACAAATGATTTAAGCAAACCTAACATCGCTGGGATTCCTCAGCCTGAAATTAAATCACACTAATATTAAAAACCAAAGTTCCTGTCAAGGTTAAAAATGCAGATGCCAAAAGAGCCCAGGCAGGTCAGTAAATGAGTGAGATGAGGTGAATCTCCTGGGAACTGTGTAAAACTGGGAGGACACATATAGTCTGAAGAGGGTAGCTGCTGCCTGCTCCAGCCAACCTCTTCATGCAAGAATTCAGATTCAGAGTTGCCAAAGCATCTCACTTAATCCAGATAGTAGGTAAAATTTTCCAAGTTTTAAACATGACAGACATCTGGGTTACTCTAACAGATTGCAAACATACTTACATACTCCCCTCTAGTTCCATCTAAACACACTCTGGATACAGTTTTCATAATAACATTTTACTCATTTCAATAATGTTAGGACAAAGGCATTGGTATTTGAGAGAGGAGAATTGGAGCTATTAACACAGAATTAGCCAGTGTCTCTCCAAAGTCCTCATCCACACATCTTTCTGAAGCCTGAGCAAAGAGGCTGATCGGCTAAGTATTCTCATGGCACAGATAAAAATACAGAGACAATGGTTCCGACCCAGAGATGAGGCTGCAAAATCCATATGCCCATGTTTGGGAATAGGCCCTATAATTGGGCACAGGGACCAATGCCCACCTGAGGTCAGGAGAAGGGATTACTGGTCTCACAGCTAGAAATTACAAGCCAAAATCCAAATTGAAGGCATAGTGTCCTTTTCAGAGAAGTCATCAGAGAGTATGGGCAGGAAAAAGATGTAAAAATCCAAGACCCAATAGATATATAGGGTCTTGGATCCTATATATCATCCTAGTAGAGGGGATGAAAAAAAGCACGCAAAAGTAACTAGGGATTATACCACCTGCTTTTTGGATAGCTAAGTGTTGGCTGGCCAATCCCATTACTGGGTATAGACTCAAAGGAATATAAACCATTCTATCATAAAGACACATGCACAGTTATGTTAAACACAGAACTATTCACAATAGCAAATACATGGAATCAACCTAAATGCCCATCAATGGTAGACTGAATAAAGAAAATGTGATACATATACACCATGGAATACTACGCAGCCAAAAAAAGAATGAGATCATGTCCTTTGCTGGAACACGGATGGATCTAGAGGCCATTACCCCTAGCAAACTAATGCAGGAACAGAAAACCAGATACCACATGTTCTTATTTATAAACGGGAGCTAAATGATGAGAACACATGGACACACAGAGGGGAAAAATAGACACTGGGGCCTGTCAGAGGGTGGAGGGTGGGAGCGGGAGAGGATCAGGAAAAATAACTAGATTTAATATCTGGGTAGAAAAATAATCTGTACAACAAACCCCCATGACACAAGTTTACCTATATAACAACCTTGCACATGTGTCCCTGAATTTAAAATAAAAGTTTAAAAAGTGTTACCTGGCAATATCTATAAATGAAAAATATACAGCCAAGCTTAAGCATAAAAAAGGTGGGTAAGATTTCCAAGGAGCAGAAATTGAATATAGGAACACATTGCAAGAAGAAGCTAAAGTTAAGCTCTTGGTGGGAACAGTGAGGGGATGAAAAAATAGAGATGACAGCTTTGCCTCAGGAACAAAGGTAGGGTTTCAACATCTGCTCCCAAATGACAGCAAAAGCCTCAAGATACAACATGCGGAAAACTGAAATTAGGCCCCTCTGAGTAAAGCCAGTAGCAGAAAATATACTGCCTCCCCATGCACAGAAGCCAAAATATCTTCACCCATCTGCCCCAGGCATGAAAACAGAGCCACCCACACAGGTCCAGAGTTAGATCTGTCCAGGGTGCAGAGCCCTGCTGGAGGTGTGCTACCCATGCAATGTGCATAATATTCCAAGTCAAAACAGCTGAGATCTGGTTAAGTGGCAGTGTACCCAGGAAGTTAGGACAATAGCCACCAAGAAGAGAGCCACAACCCAGGGTATTTATATCATAGAATATCCATGAAAGATAGCCCCCAAGGAATAAGAAACTACTAAAAGTTATGAAATCTATGAGAAAATCCAGCACCATGTGAGTGGTGAGTGATACCTCACAAGCCCCAACAAATTGGAGAATTCCAACCCAGAGAAATATAACTAGAGCAATCTGAAGAAGACTAAAATAGGGAACCTAACAGCACTGAACAAGTCAAACACTAAAGGAAAAAAAAGAAAAAGTCTTCAAAGATATTAATGCATTTTAAAAATATATGTATTCAACAAATATATATTGGCCTATTGTAGGCCAGGCATTATCCTAAGCACTGAAAATATAGCCATGAGCAAGACAAAGTCCTTGCACTTAAGGAGTTTATATGTTGAGATAAAACAGGCAAATAATGCCAAGTAAACATATACTAAATGTCAGGCAGATAAATTCATGTAGAAAAATAAGAAGAGTAACAGACTAAAGAAAGATGGTATAGAAGGGGGAGTGTGCTTCAGGCAAAAGGAACAAGTACAACATGCACAGGCCTTCTATGGAGGTGCAAAACAGCCAGCCAGGCTAGAAAGAAGGAGGCAGAGCAGGAGGTAGGGCCAGAGCGACAAGAGCCAGATTATGTCGGGCCCTGCAGTCCTTAATAAAAAATTGCAGATTTCATTCTAGGTGTCATGAGAGGCAACTGAAGGGCTTGAACAGGGAAATGATAGGGCCCACTTTATAATTTTAAAAGATCACTCTATTATTGTGGAGGATTAACTGGGGTGAGAGTGAGGGCTCAAGAGGGCAAGTAGGAAGACCAGTTAAGAGGCCTGAAATTAAGGTGAGTGTGGCAAGGAGAGAGTGATCAGAGTGGAAGTGGGAAGAAGGTCTTCAGATTTTATTTATTTTGGGGGCAAAGCCAACAGGGCCTGCTGTTCGACTGAATGTGATTTTAAGGGAAAAAGAAGACACCAAGGGTTACTCCTAGATTTGGGGTCTAAGAAACTTGACGAATGAGACTATTTATTCATTTAGGTAGCGGAGAAGAGCAGATTTATAGGATGCTATTGTGAGTTCAGTTTTGCATATGTTAGGTTCTAGATGCCTGGGATATTTAGGACTAATTAATTAAATAATCTGACCTTAGCAGGCTTCAAGCATGTTTTCTGGAAAATATCTCCTCTCTGTCCCTTAATGATGCATTAGAACCCATAATTTTATCTTTTTTATCTTTGTAAATAACAGCTTTATTGAGATGATATTCACATATGACACAATTCACTCATTTAAAGTGTGGAATTTAATGCTTTTTAGTATATTCACTGGGTTGTGCAACCATCACCACAATGAATTTTAGAACATTCTCATCACCCCCCAGAAAAACTCTGTTTAGCAATCACTTCCCACTATCCCCCAACCCAAAACCCTCTCCACACCATAGCCCCAGGCAACCACTAATCTTCTTTCTGTCTCTATAGATTCAGCTGTTCTGGACATTTCATATCAATGGAATCAAACAATAGGAGGTCTTTTGTGCCTGGCTTCTTCCATTTAGCATAAGGTTCACCAGGTTCATCCACATGGTAATATGCAGCAGTACTTCAGTTCTTTTTATGGCCAAATAATATTTCATTATGTCTTTGGTTGGCTTTTTTTAGCTTTCCTTTATTTACTTGTAAGGAAATATTATGATAAGTAGTATCAACTTGCTTTCTTTATTTTTATTTAAGTTTTAAGTTCAGGGATACATGTGCAGTTTGTTATATAGGTAAACTTGTGTCATGCAGGTTTGTTGTACAGATTATTTCATCACCCAGGTATTAAGCCTAGAACCCCTTAGTTATTTTTCCTGACTGTCTACGTCCTCTCACCCTCCACCCTTCAATAAGCCCCAGTGCCTGTTGTTTCCTTCTGTGTCCATGTGTTCTCATCATTTATCTCCCATTTGTAAGTGAGAACATGTGGTATTTGGTTCTCTCTTCCTGCATTAGTTTGCTAAGGATAACGCCCTCCAGCTCCATCCATGTTCCTGCAAAGGACATGATCTTGTTCCTTTTTATGGCTGCATGGTATTACATGGTGTATATGTACATTTTATTTATCCAGTCTATCGTTGACGGGCATTTAGGTTGATTCCATGTCATTGTTACTGTGAATAGTGCTGCAATAAACACACGTGTGTTTCTTTATGATAGAACAATTTTTATTACTTTGGGCATATAGCCAGAAATGGGATTGCTGGGTCGAATGGTAGCTCCGTTTTGGGGTCTTTGAGGAATTGCCACACTGTTTCCCACAATGGTTGAACTAATTTACGTTGCCACCAACAAGGTAAAACTGTTCCTTTTTCTCCACAGCCTCCCCAGTATCTGTTATTTTCTGACATTTTGATAATGGCCATTCTGCCTGGTGCGAGATGGTATCTCATTGTGGTTTTGACTTGCATTTCTCTAACAATCAGTGATGTTGAGCTTTTCTTCATATGTTTGTGAGCTGCATGTACGTCTTCTTTTGAAAAGTGCCTATTCCCTTTTTTTGCCAACTTTTTAATGGGATTGTTTTTGTCTTGTAAATTTGTTTAAGTTCCTTACAGGCGCTGGATATTAGACCTTTGCCAGATGCATAGTTTGCAAAAACTTTCTCCCATTCTGTAGGTTGCCTATTTACTCTGTTGACAGTTTCTTTTGCTGGGCAGAAGCTCTTTAGTTCAATTAGATCCCATCTGTTAATTTTTGCTTTTGTTACAGTTGCTTTTGTTGTCTTCATCATGAAATTTTTGCCCATTCCTATGTCCAGAATGGTATTGCCTAGGTGGTCTTCCAGGGTTTTTATAGCTTTGGGTTTTACACTTAAATCTTTAAACCATCTTGAGTTAATTTTCGTATGTGGTGTAAGGAAGGAGTCCAGCTTCAATCTTCTGCATATGGCTGGCCAGTTATCCCAGTATCGTTTATTGAATAGGAAGCCCTTTCCCCATTGCTTGTTTTTCTCAGCTTTGTTAAAGATCAGATAGTTGTAGTCATGTGGCCTTATTTCTGGGCTCTCTATTCTGTTGCATTGATCTATGTGTCTATTTCCTACTAGTGCCATACTGTTTTGCTTACTGTAGCCTGGTAGCATACCATAATTTTCTAATCATGTTAAATTATTAAAAACACTCAGGCCAACCCCTCTTAAAACCCTCTCCTCTCCTAGTGGCCAGTCTCAGGCACACTGACTCAGAATAGGGAGGAGAAATTTTTTTGTATTTTTAGAACATCACAGTGTTCGCCAGGATGGTCTTGATCTCCTGACCTCGTGATCCGCCTGCCTCGACCTCCCAAAGTGCTGGGATTACAGGTGTGAGCCAAGGCGCCTGGCCTACCCTACTCATTTCTAACTCTGTGTGCAGCTACCTGACTCAAAGCTCCCAGTTTCCTCTGCCCTCTGCTAATCTAGCTTCTCCCTGAGAAGGAAGCTTACATTTACATGATTTCAAACACATATGTACTTTGCACCTCCTATAGAATTATATAGGTGCTTTAATTACATTATCCCATTTAATCCTTAGAATCACTCCACTAACCCCTTTGTAAGAGATAAGAAACTGACCCAAATACTTACCCAAGAATGCAATCATAAAGAATTGGAGCTTTTAACAGAGAATTAGCCATTGTCATCCAGAGCTGTGTGACTACCAAGATTCTCCCCAACACAAATATCTCTCCCTAGAAGGAAACTTGCTCCTTTCAAACAAATCTTCACTGATATCTAATTTTTTTAGGTCAGCTGGCAGCACCTATAAGTAAGTATTACATGTCTTTTTCTACTTTGGTTCTCTTTGGTCCCCTTCACTTCACTTCTGTCAAAGTGATTTGTGGTTCCCATTATTCCCTTGCTTCCTTATTACCCTACATGGTCTATATTACAGAGAATCTTTTTAAACACTAATTAAAAGAGGGACTAAGCTAGGATTCATCAGTAATAAACTGAACAATATTATGAAATAACACGTAAGCAGAATTATTGAGAGATGAAATCCATAATGATGTTTAAATGGAGAGAGGCTTTCAGTGTTCTCTCAAACATTATAATGCTATTCAAAGGAAACAGAAAGATATGGCAGTCTCTACCCGAGACTATACCCAAAGCTGTTGGGTCCAGTAAATGAAGAGGGCCTTTAAGGAAACCCTACCTTTGATTTCATCACATCATCACTGCCTAATCTTATATCTAGTTTTGCATTGTAAAACTAATCTAAAACTAATCTATAGGGCGGTTTGGAATGCTTCCTTCTTTGCCCACACAAGTCCTCCCCTCACAGACTCCAACAAAATATGTTAGATAATGCTATGTTTTCTCCATTTGAGAAAAATTAAATGGATTTCTTTTTGCTTATTTTTTAGTAATTTCGCAGAGAACTGCAAGTAAGTTCTTTATTTCTCAGCTGGTCATATGTGGAGATTTATGTTAGATGTTTCTACTTCTAAGTATCCAAAAGATTGAGACTCATATTTCTCATATTCATTTGCTTCTACATTACCCAAAGTCCTCCAGATTAGGACTGCAAGACAAACTTTTTGATTCATAACTGTAATATTTCCCATTATTTAGGTTTTTTTGTTTTGTTTTGTTTTGAGACAGAG
Organism: Homo sapiens; assembly: GCF_000001405.40. Lineage (NCBI taxonomy): Eukaryota > Metazoa > Chordata > Mammalia > Primates > Hominidae > Homo > Homo sapiens. Next base: position 3,557,014 of record NT_167245.2, on the reverse strand, counting down.
TCTCACTCTGTCACACAGGCTGGAGTGCAGTGGCGTGATCTAGGCTCACTGCAACCTCCACCTGCCGAGTCCAAGCAATTCTCCTGCCTGAGCCTCCCAAGTGGCTAGCAATACAAGTGCAAGCCACCATGCCCAGCTAATTATTGTATTTTTAGTAGAGACAGGGTTTCCTCATTTGGCCAGGCTGTTCTTGAACTCCTGACCTCAAGTGATCCTCCCGCGTTGGCCTCCCAAAGTGCTGGGTTTACAGGTGTGAACCACCACGCCCAGCCCCATTATTTTAGTTCTAAACCCAACTTCCAAGGTAACACATACCAACAGTGACTCAATTTTTAAACCAGATCAAGCGTCGACCATGATGATATTTAATATAGAATTCGTGAAAGCACCTTTCACACTGTGTCCTAGTTTTCCAAAATGCAAATCTGGTTCTCATATCTCAGTTACAAATGATTTAAGCAAACCCAATATCAGCTGAGATTCCTCATCCTGAAATTAAATCACATTAATATTAAAACCCAAAGTTCCTGTCAAGGTTAAAAACGCAGATGCCAAAAGAGCCCAGGCAGGTCAGTAAATGAGCGAGTTGAGGTGAGTCTCCTGGGAACTGTGTTAAACTGGGAGGACACGCATAGTCTGAAGAAGGTAGCTGCTGCCCAGCTCCAGCCAACCTCTTCATGCAAGAATTCACATCTAGAGTTGTCAAAGCATCTCACTTAATCCAGATAGTAGGTAAAATTTTCCAATTTTTAAACATGAAAGACATCTATGTTATTCTAACAGATTTCAAATATGCTTATATATCCTCCTCCAGTTCCTTCTAAACACACTCTGGATATAGTTTTCATAATAACAACACTTTACTAATTTCAATAATGTTAGGACAAAGACATTGGTATTTGAGTGAAGAGAAATGGAACTGTCAACAAAGAATTATAAGTGAGTGTCTCTCCAAAATCCCTATCCACATACCTTTCTGAAGCCTGAGCAAAGAGGCTGATCAGCTAAGTATTCTCACTGCACAGATGAAAATACATACTCAGTGGTTGAGACCCAGAAATGAAGCTGGAAATTCCAGATGTCTATGTTTGCACATGGGCCATATAATTGGGAACAGAGACCAAGGCCCACCAAAGTTCAGGAGAAGGGATTATTGGTCTCACAGCTAGAAATTACAAGGCAGAACCCAAATTGAATGCATAGTGTCCTTTTCAGAGGAGTCATCAAAGAGGATGGGCAGGGAAATAACGTAAAAATCCAATACCCGAGGGGTAGGGAGAAAGAAAAAAGGAATGCCAAAGTAACTAGGGGTTATAACACCTCATTTTTGGCTGGCTAAGTCTTGGCTGGAAATATTTTTAAATGAAAAATACACAGTCATACCTAAGCATAAAGAAGGAGGGTAAGAGTGATTTCCAAGGAGCAGAAATGGAATATAGGGACACATATAAAGAAAGGAAAGCTAAAGTTAAGCTCTTGGGAGGAATGGTGAGGGGATGAGGAAAAGAGGTAGCAGCTTTGCCTCAGGAACAAAGGTAGGGTTTCAACACCTGATCCTAGATGGTGGACAAAGCCTCAAGATACAACATGTAGAAAACTGGAATTCCACCACTTGGAGTAAAGCCAGGAGCAGAAAACACACTGCCTCCCCATGCGGAGAAGCCAAAATATCTTCACCCATCTGCCCCAGGCATGAAAACAAAGCCACCCACACAGGTCCAGAGTTAGATCTGTCCAGGGTGCAGAGCCCTGCTGGAGGTGTGCTACCCATGCAGTGTGCATAATATTCCAAGTTAAAACAGCTGAGATCTGGTTCAGAGGCAGTGTACCCAGGAAGTTAGGACAATAGCCACCAAGAAGGGATCCACAACCCAGGGTATTTATATCATAGAATATCCATGAAAGATAGCCCCCAAGGAATAAGAAACTACTAAAAGTTATGAAATCTATGAGAAAATCCAGCACCATGTGAGTGATACCTCACAAGTCCCAACAAATTGGAGAATTCCAACCCAGAGAAATATAACTAGAGCAATCTGAAGAAGACTAAAATAAGAAACCTAACAGCATTGAACAAGTCAAACACTAAAGGAAAAAAAAGAAAAAGTCTTCAAAGATATTAATGCATTTTAAAAATATATGTATTCAACAAATATATATTGGCCTATTGTAGGCCAGGCATTATCCTAAGCACTGGAAATATAGCCATGAGCAAGACAAAGTCCTTGCACTTAAGGAGTTTATATGTTGAGATAAAACAGGCAAATAATGCCAAGTAAACATATACTAAATGTCAGGCAGATAAATTCATGTAGAAAAATAAGAAGAGTAACAGACTAAAGAAAGATGGTATAGAAGGGGGAGTGTGCTTCAGGCAAAAGGAACAAGTACAACATGCACAGGCCTGCTATGGAGGTGCAAAACAGCCAGCCAGGCTAGAAAGAAGGAGGCAGAGCAGGAGGTAGGGCCAGAGCGACAAAAGCCAGATTATGTCGGGCCCTGCAGTCCTTAATAAAAAATTGCAGATTTCATTCTAGGCATCATGAGAAGTAACTGAAGGGCTTGAACAGGGAAATGATAGGGTCTACTTTATAATTTTAAAAGATCACTCTATTATTGTGGAGGATTAACTGGGGTGAGAGTGAGGGCTCAAGAGGGCAAGTAGGAAGACCAGTTAAGAGGCCTGAAACTAAAGGTGAGTGTGGCAAGGAGAGAGTGATCAGAGTGGAAGTGGGAAGAAGGTCTTCAGATTTTATTTATTTTGGGGGCAAAGCCAACAGGGCCTGCTGTTCGACTGAATGTGATTTTAAGGGAAAAAGAAGACACCAAGGGTTACTCCTAGATTTGGGGTCTAAGAAACTTGACAAATGAAACTATTTATTGATTTAGGTAGTGGAGAAGAGCAGATTTATAGGATGCTATTGTGAGTTCAGTTTTGTGTATGCTTGGTTCTAGATGCCTGGAACATTTAGGACTAATTAATCAAATAATCTGACCTTAGCAAGCTTCAAGCATGTTCTCTGCCATGTGTCTCCTTCCTATCATTTAATGATGTCTTAGAACCCATAATTTTCTAGTTATGCTAAATTATTTAAAATGCTTAAGCCATCCCCTTTAAAACCCTCTCCTCTCCTAATGGCCCGTCCCAGGCACACTGACTCAGAATGGGGAGGAGAAATACAATGTGCTTCCCCTTCCTGTCCACTCTCCTTGTTGCTATAATTCCCACCGTTGTTATAATTCCCACTGTTGAGGCTGAGAGGATGGATTTGGGGCATGCAATCTCCTTCCTCTGTTAGTTGTAGGTTCTTTTCTCTGAGAACCTGAGACTGACTGTCCTTTGATGTCATCTAGAGCAGACACCCAAATGTCTTGCACAATACATATTCCAGTTCTTTGGAGGAACATACAAGAACTCGACCATGCCTAGTCCCTGATGTGGGAGTACTGACTCTAGTCTTGCCAATTCCAGAGCCCCTCAACTCCCTCTCGAGCAATACACTTCATTGCTTGTACTGCAGAGATGCCCTTACCAAGTAGGCCACCCACTTGAGTGACATACTAGCAAGAAGGCTCAAGCCAGGATGTATTTTGCACTGCCCACTGAACCCTCAGGAGGCTCAAGAATCCTTATCACAGAACAAGGACACTCTGCACTACTGTCTCTCTCCAATTTTATTTTCCTTCATTCAGATAGGCACAAAAAAAATCAACAAATCCACTATTCAACCAGGAGATGGGTTGCCACACATCCTTTCTCACAGATACCCCCAATCACTGTAAGCAAATCTCAAATTGCTACTCATTTGCCTTCAGAAAAAGAAAGCACTATTCTTCCTCCCCTACAACACCATTCCTTTGTTAACTACTCACAACTCTAAAGACTCTTAAATCTCCTGCCCTTTACAGTTGTTTGCTTATGTTGTCTTGGAAAAAGGGTGACACTTGAGATAGGAGAGCTAATTTGGCCATCATGTCAAGGCCGGCAAGCAGCACCTCTGCACTGCACAGCCTCAAGAATCCTTTCCCTTTTAATTATGGAGTTGGCAATGCTGCAATCCCTCCTGAGGGCTTGTCTCACCTCAGTTTGCTGAGGAGGGTAATGGGAAGTTATAACCTCTTTTTCCTCAGCTTTGTGATCCTACTTGTCAATTTGGGAGTAACAAGAAAAATCCCACTAAACATTCTGCCCCCCATCCAAGCATATACTCTATATCAAAAGGCAATTAAATATTTGAGTCTGAAGATTTAGGGAGAGATTGGGTGGGAAATAAATTAGACAGTAATCAGCATATAGGTAACATTTAAGACGATTGGACTAAATTAGATAATCAAAGGTATATGTAAAAATGAAGGGGTAAGGATTAATCAGTTTTAGAAGTTTAGAATGAGAAAAATCTAACTATGCATATAGAGAAGTAGTGAGCAGGGAGAAAGAAGGAGAACCAGTAAAGGGGGGGTCTCGCAGCACTCAAGAGAAGATAGTATTTCAATATGGAAAAAATAAACAACAGCATCAAAAACAGCTAAGCAATAAATTTTTGGAGTAAGAACTGACAAGGAATTTTGCAAAATGAATGTCATAAGTAACCTTGATAAGATAGGAGGGAAGAAATGCCTAAATGGAGGAGGTGAAGGAGATAATAAAATTTTAAACAGTAAGGCAGCTGATACGGCATATGACAGCTAGTATAGCATGAAAAGGCCACGAAAGGCTGGAGTTCTGATAGGTTGTGGCTTACCTATTGGGGAATAAAAGAAAGACTATCCTTTCTAAAAAGATTAAAAAATATATATATATATATATATGTATATATATTTGAGAGATAGTTTGAAGAAAGAACAGGCAGATTTAAAAAAGAACCAAGCTGAAACCTTGAAAATAAGAAAGTTATTAGAATTGAAACAATGATTAGATAATATATAAATTCTAATGTAACTATATGTAAATAATATTTAAATATTATTAATCACAGTTTAAAAGAGTAAACTGGAAGACAGAACTGAGGAAATCTCAGTTCAAAATAGTACATGGAAAATATTGAAAATCTCAGCTCAAAATAATACACAGAAGATATTGAAAATATGAAAAAGAAGAGCTGTAAATAGAATGAGGTCAGGTGTAATGGAATTTGATAAGAGAAAATTAAAAGAATAAATGTCAGGTAATAATTTTAAATGTAATAATTAATAACATTCCAGAAGAAAAGAGACATAAATCCTCAGATCATAATGGTCCACTGAAAGCTGAAATTAGATAACTTTAAAACACACAGACAGATATATACACACACACACACTTACATGTGCCAAAACTCATCGTAGTAAGCTGACAAACAGACATTAAAAAGCAAATCATAAAGACAACCAGAGAAGCAGATCACCTGCAAAAAATCATTTTAACACTAGACATCTCATTAGCAATAATATGTGCCAGAATACAACAGAACAAGAATGAAATCCAAACAAGAATGAGATCCTATCATTTGCAACAACCTAGATGGAAATGAAGGTCATTATGTTAAGTGAAATAAGCCAGGCATAGAACCACAGACTTCACATGTCCATACTCATTTGTGGGAACTAAAAATTAAAACATTGAACTCATGGAGATAGAGAGTAGAATGATGGTTACCAGAGCCTGGGGAGGGTAGTCAGGAGAGAGAAAAATTGGGAATGGTTAATAGGTACAAAAATAGTTAGATAGAATGGATAAGATCTAATATTTGATAGCACAACAGGGTGACTATAGTCAAAGGAAATTTATTGTACATTTTTAAACAATTAAAAGAATATAATTGCAAGTTTGTAACACAAAGAAATGATAAATGCTTAAGGTGATATTCAGTTAACCCTGATGTGATTACTACACATTATTACACATTGTATGAGTGTACCAAAATATTTCATGTACCTACTTGCACCTACTATATACCCATAAAAATTAAAAATAAAAAAATTTTAAAAATACAACAGAACAATATCATCAAAAGACTGAAGGAAAATTACTATAAACCCATAAGATACAATCAGCAAAATTATCATTTATGAGTGAGACTGAAATGAAGTCATTTTGTATATTCAAGAACATAGAAACTCATTAAACACAGGTCCCCAATGAAAGAATTATCAAAGGGACATACTTCAGGGAGTTTACTTTTGAGTAAAAACTCAAAAAGAAGTTAGAACCAAGAAACATGTAAGAAAACAAATCAACAAAACATGACAGTAAATCTAAAATGTTGACTATAAAGAAAAAAAAGAGAAGGAAGAGAAGAAGGAGAAGGAAAAGCAGAAAGAGTCTGAGCACAGTGGTTCACACCTATAAGCCCTGCACTTTGGGAGGCCAGGGCAGGTGGATTGCTTGAGCTCAGGAGTTGGAGACCAGGCTGGGCACCATGGTGAAATCCTGTCTCTAAAAAAATACAAACATCAGGTGAGTGTGGTGGTGCATGCCTGTAGTCACAGCTACTCAGTAGGCTGAGGTGGGAGGATTGCTCGAGCCTGGGAGGTCAAAGCAGCAGTAAGCCATGATCATGCCACCGCACTCCAGCCTAGGAGCAAGACTCTGTCAAAAAAAAAAAAAAAAGGCAGGAAGAAAAGAAGGAGAAGGAGAGAGTGAAGGAGAAATATATTAGTGTGCTTTAAAATGAGTAGACCTAAAGCATTAGGGAAAAAAACCTTAGAGACAAGGCTAATGATTATGAACTAAGATAATTTGACAAAAGGTCAGATGTACTGATTAACTTTTCATCTTATTAAATATATACATTTGGATATTTATGGCAAAAATAAAAGACAACTATTAATATAATAGAAATGTGACATACATCTTCTGAACCCATAGGGAAAATAAAAAGAAGAAAGAAAACTATATTAGTCCACAAGAAAGCAAGAAAAAAGAAAAAGAGAAAGCAAATAAAAAGCAAATTTTTTTTTTTTTTGAGACGGAGTCTCGCTCTGTCGCCCAGGCTGGAGTGCAGTGGCGGGATCTCGGCTCACTGCAAGCTCCGCCTCCCGGGTTCACGCCATTCTCCTGCCTCAGCCTCCCAAGTAGCTGGGACTACAGGCGCCCGCCACTACGCCCGGCTAATTTTTTGTATTTTTAGTAGAGATGGGGTTTCACCGTTTTAGCCGGGATGGTCTTGATCTCCTGACCTCGTGATCCGCCCGCCTCGGCCTCCCAAAGTGCTGGGATTACAGGCGTGAAAAAGCAAATTTTTTTAAATGAGGGTTAAAAAAAGTCTAAATATGTTGCTTAGCACAATATTATACAATAGTAGATTAAACTCCCAGATTAAAAGCTAGAAGCTCTCAGATGTAATTAAAAGAATTAAATTTTTTTAATTTTTCTATTTTCCTATAAAAAAATAAGAAAAATAGCTAAACTCTATTAAGAAATATACCTAAAATAAGGTGACACACAGAAAAATTTAAATGAAGGAATTTTAAAACATACCAGGCAATTGGCCAGGTGCAGTGGCTCATGCCTGTAATTCCAGCGCTTTGGGAGGCCAAAGCGGGTAGATCACTTGAGGTCAGGAGTTCGAGACCCACCTGGCCAACATGGTGAAACCCTGTCTCTACTAAAAATACAAAATTAGCCAGGCATGGTGGCACATGCTTGTCATCCCAGCTACTTGAGAGGCTGAGGCTGGAGAGTCACTTGAACCTAGGAGGCAGAGGTTGCAGTGAGCCGAGATTGCACCATTGCACTCCAGCCTAAGTGACAAGAGCGAAATTCTGTCTCAAAAAAAAAAAAAACCAGGCAATTAACAACAAAACAAAACTTGATATAATTGTGCAAATATCAGATAAAATATAAGTGAAAGTTGTGAGCTTATAGCATAGCCTTTGAAATACATAAAACAAAAACTGACAAAATAGCAAAGACATCTGTAACTAAATAAAGATATTTTAATAATATTTCTCTCATAAAATAAATAAACAGACAAAAATTAGTAAGGCTAGAGAGGCTTTGACATAATTTTAGAAAGCTTTATCTAGTAATGTACACTGAACATTCCACCAAGCAAGCACAGATGGAAAAGATTACCTTGACCACCAATTCCTTCAACTAGAGCAAGCCTCAACTAATTTCAAAGTACACTTCAACATAATATAAATCATATTTTCTGAGCACAAGGCAACAAAACAGAAATAAATAACAAAAAATATTAACATATACATATTTAGAAACAAAAAAGCATACATCCAAATAATCCACAGGTTACAAACAAAATTGTGAGAGAAATTACAGAATATATAGAAATAAGTGAGTATAAAATCATTACTTATCAAAACACTTAGGATACAACCAAAATATCATTTAGAGAGAAATTATTATGGTAAATGGTTTTAATAGAAATTATTCATTAATAAAAATTGATGAACTAAACATGAGCTCAAGATGATTAAAAAAGGAAAAATCTCAAGAGTAGGACACAATAATAAAAATGTCCTACTTTTATTAGGCAAAAATTAATGAAATGAAAAGTATTTAAAAATAATCAACAGAATAATTTTGATTATTTTGAAACAAAATTAAAGAAAAGGAAAAGCACTAACAATACAAGGAACAAAATAGAAATGTGGAGAGAAAGCAAAATTTCCTCAAAATCATAAGAAAATGCACTAAAAAAATGGAAATACTGCAAAATGAATACTTTGTTAGCCTAGCCAAATCATCTATTTTGCCTGAGCACTTGACATTAAACATGACAGTCAGAAAAACCTTGTATCATGAGATAAACTGAGGATGGCAGGAGGTGAAAAAAGAAGGAAAGAAAACCAGAAGGAAGGGAAGGAGAGAAGGAGGGAGGGAGGGACAGACAACTTGCTTTATATGTTCTTAAATTGAATAATAGTTCCATTTAGCACTGCAACCTAAAATAAAGGCTTAAGTTCATATGCTTTACATTGCTGGCTTCCTAATGGAAACAATTTTAGTGCTGATTTTTACAATATTGATACACATAAATGTAAGTAACCAAACCCAGGTTTGGCTGCTTGCAGCTGAAAAGCCAGACATGAGAGACAAGGGTTGGTGGGATGAAAAGCAGATTATATTGGAGAGTCAGCAAACCGAGAAGATGGAGAACCAGCATTCTAAAGTACCACCCTTCTAATGTCTTTCAGGCTGGCTGGAGGGTTTCTATGGGAGGGGGGATATGGGGAAATTATGCGCAGGAGTTAGAATCAAGAGATGACTGAGGAACACAGAGATCTGGATGCCAGCAAGAGTCAGAAGAGGTTGGGAATGTCTTTGTCCTTGGTCAGGTCACAATGCTCCCGTAAATCTTTAACAAAACATAATTAGTTGTTTACATAATTCCCCCTTAGTCGTACAGTTAGTTTCAAAAATTCCATGATTGCTGTTTTTGCATTTTATCTTAGTGTTCTAAAATTGTCCTAACTTACATGCAGGAATGGGTGAAGGTCCTTTAAACAAAAAAAGAGTTCATGTTAGTTATTTTGCTGTTTCACTGTCATACAAATGTGTTATGACCCTTGCCAATATATAATTATGATGGAGAATTATTTTTCCACCAATGAGAATAATCGGCAAACTGACCAACTTTATAGATTATGCCCCTTAAACTCCTGCTATGTCTCTTATTAAGTGAGCCAGTTCTTCTGAAGACAGGACTTGCTTGCAAGCACTGCAACTTAAAAAAGAAAAGAAAAATGTTTCTCAGTTCCAATTTGCCTCCAGTTTTTATTGACAATACAGACCTTTAAAAAACATATGACCTGGCCAGGCGTGGTGGCTCATGCCTGTAATCCCAGCACTTTGGAAGGCCAAGGCAGGAGGATTGCCTGAGGTCAGGAGTTCGAGACTAGCCTGGCCAACATGGCAAAACCCCATCTCTACTAAAAATACAAAAATTAGCTGGGTGTGGTGGCACACACCTGTAATCCCAGCTACTTGGGAGGCTGAGGTAGGAGAATCGGGCTGCTTTTCTTCATGGCCCAATAACGAGATGCAGATGAACTGAGAAAGAAGACAGTTTTTATTTATATAAGTAGGTACAGAGAGAAGGCCTGGAAATTTTTGCCAGACCAACTGAAAATTACAAAGTTTTCCAGAGCCAATATACCTTCTAAGCTATATGTCTACGTGTAAGTGAGCATTCATCTAAAGACATAAGTCATTAACTTCTTCTAATCTGTGACTAAGATGTGAGTCCTGAAGGCTTTCCTCTAGAGCTTCAGTAAATTTACTTAATCTAAATGGGTCCAAGTGCTGGGGTGATTACCCTTATCTTGTCTCCTGCTAAATATGGAGTTCCTTCAGAAGACCCCCAATAAACTTGTTTGTGAAGGCCTGGGGAGTTTCTTCAGACCCCCCAATAAACTTGTTTTAATCCTAAACGGGTCCTGTTAAGAATTCCTTCGTAATCTTGTCATGCTTCAAGGCCCAGGAAAGGCCTAGGCAAACTCTTGGTGGGCTTGTTACATTCTAGCCTGGCTCTATCAGCTTTCAACATTTAACTTAACCACTCAGTCAGTGCTGAAACAGTTGTTATGGAGGCCTGCGTTAGCGAGACCTGCCCTGCCACAGTAAGGCAAAGAGTAAGTAAACTTAGTAATGGAAATCTAGAAGGAGAATACAACGAACGGTGAAGAAGAGAACAGATATTTTGAGATTAGAGACTGAAATAGGAAAAAAAGTAAAAGAAGCAAAACTTAAAATAAGTATTACAACTCTTGAAGAGTTTTAAATTCTCATAAAAACTGAAAAGAAAAAGAAAAGGTGCTAAACTCAACTACATTTTAATTACAAATAAACTTTCTGTACTGTAAAAAAAATACAATGAGAGCTGGTATAATGGTAGAGATTTGAAAGGAAGAGAAAACATGAAAAGACAAAAAAGACGATGAAGAGATAACGTAAATTAGTAACCTTTAACTATTAGCCAGTCTCCTGAAAGAATGTGACCTAGTTTAAGAATGTTTAAAAAAATATTTTATTTCATTAGAAAAAGTGGCCTTCACTCATATAACCCATCATACGTGCCATTCAAAATGGCCTGGATATTTAAGTTATTAAAGTGGAGTTAAAATTGACTTAATAAGAGATAGCATATTCCTAGAAGATTTAATGTTTCCCAAAGGTCTGTTTTCTGGTGTTCCAAGTGGATTTTCAATAGGAACTCAATACATAATTTAAAAAAAAAACTGATTTGTTTTATTTTATTTTTAGCAATTGGTCCAATAGCAACCAGTAAGCTCCTACTGTTTTTCTCAGTTTCCTCTGGTCTTTTGTAGCATCTCGATTCCTTTATTTGCACTGACACTTTTGTTGTTTTTGGTTTCTATTTTGGTTTAGTTTGGGTCTTTCTTTCTTTCTTTCTTTTGTTCATTCGCTCATTCTTTCTTCTTCCTTCCTTTCTTTCTTTCTTCTTCCTGTCTTTGTCTTTTAAATAAGTCAAAGGCCCACAGAAACAAGAAACCACATAGAAAGGACCAAAATCAATTTGTTCTTCTGGTTAGAGAGTTAAGTTGCAAAAGAGAAGCAAGAGGAAATAATGCTGGGAAAATATGCTGGGAAGACTATGGAAATAATACACTAAGAAGTTTGTATCACAGTCTGAAGCCACAGGGTCACAAGATGAAACTCCAAAAGATAAAAGGTAGAAATAATAAAAACAAGAAGATGTAGCAAATGGGAGTAGAAGAAGGGACAGACTGCAAAATGCAAACAGAGAAAACACTAAAATAGAATTCAAGATAAAAAAGAAAGATTGATCTTTGCCTTTTCCTCCATAAAGTTTATTACATCTAAACTTGGACCACTAGTGCTGCAGAGATTAAGCCTTTTCTGACTTCCCCTCCTTGAAAGAATTGGGACTTGCCTCTCATAACAATCAGGCAAATCACACAAATTTATTTTGTGTAGGTCTAAATACACCAATTTTTTCAAAAGATTACCAGAGTACATTAAAAACATGACCTAACTATATCCTATCTACAAGAAAGTCACCTCAAATTTAACAATAAAAGTAAAAAGAATGAAAAATATATGCCATGAAACATTAATTTTTTCAAAAAAAAGGCAGAAGTGGCTACATTAATATCACGTAAAGTGGACCTAAATGCAAAGAAAAAAGAAATTTACCAGGGACAAAAGAGGGACATTATATCATGATAAAAATATCAATGCATCAAGAAGACAAAGAAATTCTACATATGTATGAACCAAACAACAGTGCTTCAAAACACACTGGGAAAAAAAAAACACGTACTAGAACTGAAGAGAAACAGAAAAACCCACAACTACAGTTGGAAAGTTTAATGCCTCATTCTCAGCAATTGCTATAACTACTAGATGGAACATGAAATAGGTGAGAGAATTAGCCAGGCAATATCTGAGGGGGGAATATTTCAATCAGAGAAGACAACAAGTAAACCACCCTAGGGTAGGAACATTTCCAGACTATTTGAGGAAAAGCAAAATAGCAAGTACCATATAGCTGGAACAGAATGAAAAGTGACATAAAAAGAAGCTATAAGAGAGATTTGGAGGGACAGATCTTCCAGGGCCATCTTTGAAAGCCACTGTTGTGATTTTGACTTTTGTTAAACCAAGATGGGGAACCATTGGTGGCTCTTAAGCAGGAGTCTTGCTGACACTTTAAAAGGGTCCCGCTAACTGCTGTACTGGGAACTGACTGGGAGGCAAGGGTGAAAGCAGAGAGCTCAATTAGAGAGACAACAATAAGTTGGACCACATAAAGGTGGTAAAAACTGTCAGGTTCTTATAACACACTAAGGGATCTGTTGTCTCATCATATTTCATTGTATTCTGCTAGAAGTCTTTATGGTACCCTAGAAAAAACAACTAGGGAATTGGGAGTAGGAAAGAACTGTACTTCTGTTCCAAAAATGCTGCCATTAACCTATTTTCTTGTTTTGATTTTCAGGAATACCTCAAGTTCACACTAGTAAGTTCCTAATATATTTTTAATACATTAGTTTCTTGTAGGGCTGGGGTGAGCAAATTTTTTCTACAAATGTTTTTAATGTTTTATGTTTGTTTTTGTTTGTTGGGTTTTTGTGTTTTTTGGTTTGTTTGGTGTTTTTGGTTTTGTTTTGTTCTGAGACAGGGTCTTGCTCTGTCACCTAGCCTGGAGTGCAGTGGTGTGATCATAGTTCACTACAACCTCCACTCCTGGGCTCAAGCAATTCTCCTGCCTCAGCCTCCTGAGTAGCTGGGACTACAGATGTGTGCCACCATGCTTGGCTAACTTTTTTTTATTTTTTGTAGAAACTGAGTCTTGCTATGTTGCCTAGGCTGGTCTCAAAGTCCTGGCCTCAAACGATCCCCTTGCCTTAGCCTCCTAAAGTGCTGGGATTACAGGTATAAGCCACCATGCCCAGCCAAATATTTTAAATTTTATAAGCCTTAAAGTCTCTGTCACAACTACTCAACCCTGCTGTTGTAGCACAAAAACAGTCATAGACAATATATAAAAGAATGAGCATGGGTATGTCCCAATAAAATACTATTTTAGACATTGAAATTTGAATTTCATACAATTTTCATGTGCCACAAAATATTATTATTATTATTATTATTATTATTATTATTATTATTATTATTTCAACTATTTAAATATGTAAAATCCATTCTTACCTCACAGGACATGCAAAAATAGCATGTCCTAGATGCTATTTTTATTTGGAAAACTAGATTTATATGGAAAAACTAGATTTATTCCATGGGCTGTATTTTGCCAACTCCCATTCTATGGTTTAAATACCCTAACTCCACATATGTATCTCTGGTAAACAATCCTGGTATATGTTTCTTACAGTTTCATGCTTTCTTATTATTCTGTGCTTTTTTTTTTTTTAAAAACAGCGTTTCACTCACCCAGGCTAGAGTGCACTGGTGTGATCATGGCCCACTGCAGCCTTGACTTCCTAAGCAATCCTCCCACCTCAGCTTTCTGAGCAGCTGGGACTACAGGTGCTTGCCACCATACCCAGCTAATTTTTTCTTTTTTTTTTTTGCAGAGATGGGGATCTCATTATGTTGCCCAGGCTGGTCTTGAACTCCTAGGCTCAAGCCATCCGCCTGCCTCACAGCCTTCCAAAGTGCTGGGATTACAGGCATGAGCCACCGCGCCAGCCTATTTTGTGCTTTCTATGTTAGGTTTATCAAGTAACATCAACACAAGAGATATACCTATATTTCAGTACTTGGTAACAACTGTATCTTAAATATTTCGTACCAGGCCAGGCATGGTGGCTTACACCTGTAATCCCAGCACTTTGAGAAGCCAAAGCAGGTGGATCGCTGGAGCTCAGGGTTCCAGACCAGCCTGGGCAACGTGATGAAACTCCGTCTCTACAAAAAAATACAAAAATTAGCTGGGTGTGGTAGCACGCACCTGTAGTCCCAGCTACTCAGGAGGCTGAAACTGGAGGATCGCTTGAACCCCGGAAGTGGAAGCTGCAGTGAGCCATGTTCATGCCACTGCACTGCAGCCTGGGAGACTGAGACCCTGTCTCAAAAAAATATATTAAAAAAAAATTCGTATCAAACAATGTCAAAAAATAATGTTAGCACACATCTTCTAAGCAAGACCATTATATGTCCTATATTTTATAAATTGTAATCTTGACATTCTAGACAAAATTGCTAATGATCAATGATAAGTAAAGGTGATTTAAAGTAGCTTATCACAAGGTCTTTGTAAACTACACTGGGCAAAGAGAAGGGGGAAGGGAAATGAAGTTTCTTCACATTTAAATAAATGAAATTTAGTTGTTAATGACACAGATCCCACTCAATGCAGAGGTTTGGGGACTGGGAAGAAGGGAATGCCCAGTACCTACTGATGTGTTTGCCTTTATCTCTTTCAGTGGACAGTTCTGGAAAAATCAGTAAGTTTGGATCATTTCCTTGCCTTACCTATTTCTGTGCCTAGGACCTTTAAGTTCTTTTTCCCAAATGTTCTTGTGTTACGAGTTCCTCTACCTTACAGCAGTCAATATTTCTTCAATAAGTGATTTCCTCATATTTCAATTTTAATTCTTCTTATCTATTTTCCTTTTGTAACAAAGTATAATGGTCTTGTGTTTGATTCTAGTTATTTACTACCAAAGATTATTGGTAGCATATATTCCCAGCTAATCTATCACAACAGAGCCTATTTCCTCTGTGCTATAATCTGGCAACTAATAATTTTTACTAAAAAAGAAAATCCTCTAAGATTGACAAAAAGAATATGTGTCAGGACTAGATGTGATTTTGGTAATTAATCAACAATATACATTTTTCAAACGGACCAGAACAGTGAGCAAAAAACTGTTTTGCAGAAGACATATGAAAGACTTATCAAAGAACAAAGAAAGGCAGGAAATACAATAGTTTGAATTTCAGTAGAAGTGATTTTACCTACCCAAGATTTCAAATGCCTATATTAATTAAATGGCATCCTAAAGATAACCCTCTGTGTGGAGTGCGATATGGAGCATTGGCCAGCAACACTCCTGAGGATGAAACAGAGTTTTGTGCTCCCTCCAAGTCCTGTTTCTAAGTTCACCTAGGAAGGATACTATTGGAAGGTGGGTTTCTCTTGAGTTAGAAAATCCTCACTGATCTTTCTTTTGTGTTTTGTTTTTAGCACTGACTCCTGTGGGTAAGTTCCATATCTATTCTCAACTCTGATATTTTACATTGCTTTTAATTCTTTTGTGACCTGTCTGTTTCTACTCCCAAAATAGAGGCCTGTGCTTCTAAGGCCAATTTGAATGTTCCTATCTTCCAGAAACTTCCAAGGTTCCCCCCCGCCCTCCACTTTTCTTTTTGAGACAGGATCTCACTATGTTGCCCAGGTTGGTCTTGAATTCCTGGGCTCAAGTGATCCTCCTGCCTCAGCCTCCCAAAGTGCTGGGATTGCAGGTGTGAGCAACTGTGCCAGGCCCCAAGTTTTTAAATAACTACAATTTAAGAGATTGCTGTAGAGAAGATGAAGCTCATATGAAAGGGTGCCACAATCTCTGGCCATCTTCTAGGCTCTGAAAAAGAATCTCCTCCCTGATTCTCAGGAAAACATAATGAAAGGAAGATTGGTTTCTGAATTCCATTAGTTATTTGCTGGGAATTTAGAACTTTTTTTTAGTTATAGGTGAAGTCCCTCTGAATCATATTAATGGGGGAAAAAAACTAGTTAAAAACAAAATACCATCTCCTTTCTATTGCCTTCTAAATAACTACCTTTGAAAGACAGTAGGTATTGAGCATTGACTATGTATTTGTGCACTGTGCTAGGCACTTACAAAAGTAACATCTCTTATTCTTACCATATGCCTGCCTGGTAGGTATTATTATTCCCCATTTTACAGATTAGGAAACTAACTCAGGTATTTACCCAAGGTTAAAGAGTTGGTAAACATTGGTGTCAGGATTTAAACCCAGGATGTCCTATCTCCAAAATACACACTCTTCCCACTCTTCCCATACTAACACATTGCCTCCTATACTGAATCACAAATGCATTTTTTGTGATTAGTCAGGAAACTTTATGGAATGTTTGCAAATATAAATATACATCTACAGAAAAGCTGGATAACTAAATGTACACAAAAGGATCCTTTTAAAAATAGAAGACCGCATTTAAATCAATGTTTGACTTTTTTAACTGTTTTCTGGATTCAGATTTATCTCTATTGGGATTACTTAATATATGACTCAGCTCTTCAAGCAAGGAAACCATACAAAACAAAGTAGAATAATAACTTTTGTTTAATTCTGTAAACATATGATCAAAAGAAGCAAATAAGACTTAAACCTAGTGAGACACGTTTCAAGCATTTCAAACATTCCAAACATTGACACAAACACAAAATATGTCCTTATATTTAATCGTGTTTAAGCCTCATTCTTCTTTCTCAGTTCACACTAGAAAGAGAGTGGGTTTGGAGGGAAAGGAAGGCAGGGAGATGAAGTTGAAAGGGGCAATTAATTAATTTTTTTTTTTTTGGACAAAGTTTCGTTCTTGTCGCCCAAGCTGGAGTGCAATGGCACGATCTTGCCTCACTGCAACCTCTGCCTCACGGGTTCAAGTGATTCTCCTGCCTCAGCCTCCCAAGTAGCTGGGATTACAGGCATGTGCCACCATGCCCAGCTAATTTTGTATTTTTAATAGAGACAGGGTTTCACTATGTTGGTCAGGCTGGTCTCGAACTCCTGACCTCAGGTGATCTGCCCACTTCAGCATCCCAAAGTGCTGGGATTACAGGCGTGAGCCACTGCACCCAGCCGGGGAAATTAATTTCTTTTGATTCATGGTACAAGAAACAGTATGCATTCAGAATAATTATAATGCGCCAACATCCCTCAAATGCTCTCCTCACATAGAAAAAGTGATAGGACTGTGATCTTGTGAGTTTCTCTTACAAAAAAAAAAGGTGGGCTCTGATGATTGATGTTGTATGTCAACTTGACTCAGAAGAACCCTGACTAATACAAGGGCTCTGAGAAGGGATCACAGGCCAAGTCTCTTCCCAGAGGTAATAAATTTTTAATGAATACTAATTTTTTAAGTTGCCAGAGAAAAATCTGTTTAATCTTTTAAAAAATTTTTTGTAAAAGACATATTCTTATTGATATACTCTTTCAAACACATTTTTCCCAATTGATTGTTTTTCTATTTCTTTTAAAAAATAGAGATGGGGTCTCACTATGTTGCCCAGGCTGGCCTCGAACTCCTGGCCTCAAGCGATCCTCCCATCTCAGCCTCCCAAAGTGCTAGGATTACAGGTGTGAGCCACTGCATCGGCCCCAGTTGATATTTTTAGAAAAAGG
The DNA here is from genome assembly GCF_000001405.40 of Homo sapiens. NCBI lineage: Eukaryota > Metazoa > Chordata > Mammalia > Primates > Hominidae > Homo > Homo sapiens. The sequence continues at coordinate 3,539,193 of NT_167245.2, read as the reverse complement.
AGGTTAAGGTTTAAGTCAATGTTCAAAGAAAGGTTTAAGATAGATTAAACCAACAAACATCATCATCCCAGCAAACTGAGTCTCTTATTTCTCACCTCCTCATTCAACTAATAAGTATATGATCTTTTAAAATGTAATTCATAGCCTGAGAACTATAATGATTTATCCCTCTGATACTGAATAGATCTTTTACAGTCTAGATCCAATTGTGCTCTCCCTGACAACCACTGGATTAAGAACCTAAGATTAGTTTCCTAATAAAGCCCACATTCTATTTTCTATGTTAAGTATCATTTAGATAGAATTGTTAATGTGATAGCTATTTCATGATATCTTTTAGCTTTAACAAAAATTAATCCAATTTAAAAATTTTAATAATTACTTTTTATTCAGCTTGAATATATTATGATGATCCCCAAAGTCTTGATTAAATCTTTTGATTGTATTAAAATTTTGTAGTATGGGCTACTGCCTGCAATAAATGTACTTGCAGCCAGGGCTTCCAAGTCTTTATATTATGAAGATTTACACTGTATGTGTTAGATGATTATGAGGTCCAAGAGAAGGAAAAGATGTATGAACTATCTTGAAATCTGGGAGAAGGAAGAAAAGAACTTAGAATGTGGTGGAATAATGATTTGTGGCTTACTTCTGCAATGCAAAGTTGAAATAAAAGTGAACCTCACTTTATGGGATAGCTAGATTACTCAAAAATAAATCCTGTAAATCTAATCTATGTTAATTAAATTCAAGATTTAAAAGATGACAGCAAATATATTAAAATAAGGGTATGAAGATTCTATTAGAAGTAACTAGAGGTATTTTTCAGTGTAGTGGGAGAAAGAATAAAAAGTTTTTTAATTCTGTGAAATTAGGAAAGGTGTAGCTAGAATAAACACTGGGTGCTTCAGGAAATCCTATAATACTTAATTTTGGTTTACAAAGCCTATATAATTTAGAAGGTAAATTTAGGTTAAAATGAGTCATGAAGTATTACACACAGTAGCAAATAATTACCCCCAAGGGATAGTAAAACTAAAAATATTCATAGCTTAAGGAAAATCAGCTTATGTGAGGAGTACATTCCATGAAATTCTTAAGGTTAGAAACTTCAGCGGAGCATGATCTTACCATTCCACACCACCATACCCCTAAACAAAACAAAACAAAACAGTGTCCACTGGTAGCACTGTCGAAGATCAAAATATTCTGAACTATTTTTCTCAATTTAGCAATGCTTGAAATATATTACCACTGATTTTCATTAGGAAACTGAAAATTGATTGTCTAGAATAAAATGTCAGTAACCATATTTTAATGAAGAACTCTAGGTGGGGACATATACAAAAAGATTCAGAAAACATTACTGTAATTTTCCTAATGTTATTTTTATTTGGATGTCAACAGCTGAAAATAATAAAAGAAAACACTGAACTACAACAACTCTTTTGATTTATAATTAGTTTCTTATCTAATACAGGTGTGCCTCATTTTTATAATTGATAAAATTCTGAAGTTATGTGTATGCCAATTTTTCAAACATCAAACCCTAAATGTAAAAAACGAAAAGTCCAATAATTCACTTTTAAGCAAGAAATTTTCCTGTAATTGGCTGGGTGTGGTGGCTCACGCCTGTAATCCCAGCTTTGGGAGGCCGAGGCAGGTGGATCACCTGAGGTCAGGAGTTCAAGACCAGCCTGACCAACATGGAGAAACCCCATCTCTACTAAAAATACAAAATTAGCCGGGTGTGGTGGCACATGCCTGTAATCCCAGCTACTTGGGAGGCTGAGGCAGGAGAATCCCTTGAACTCGGGAGGCAAAGGTTGCGGTGAGCCGAGATCGTGCCATTGCACTCCAGCCTGGGCAACAAGAGCGAAACTCCATCTCAAAAAAAAAAAAAAAAAAGAAATTTTCCTGTAATACAATTAACCACTCCTGTAAATTATTTGTTGGAAACTAAGAATGCCTTGTCTTGATTGAATTAGAGAGTTTTTTCCTGTACTATCTCATTGGGAAGTAGTAATGGCCAATATTTATTGACTACTTATGTCCCATGCACTGTACCACGTGCTTTTATTTAGATAACATTATTTAATCTCATAACACCTCTTTGAGGTAGCTACTACTATTGCCCCCATTTTACAGACAGAAAGTAAAGTTTGCCAAAGGTCACCCAGCTAGGCAGGTGCGGAGGCAGGATTTGAACCAGTCTGTCTCCAAAGGCTATGTTACTTTAACATTTGTCTACAATATTTAGTAACTCTACAAAGTGAGCAGATCAAACTAAATATAAAAACAGTGAATCTTTGAGGATTAACTGATTTACCTTAATAAACCCATTAAACCCAGCTAGCAGGAATAATAAACCTAGGTCTTCTTTTTTTTTTTTTGTGTGTGTGTGTGTGTGTGTGTGTGTGAGATGGAGTATCGCTCTGTCACCTAGACTGGAGTGCAGTGGTGCAATCCCAGCCCACTGCAACCCCTGCCTCCCGGGTTCAAGCGATTCTCCTGCCTCAGCCTCATGAGTAGCTGGGGTTACAGGTGTGTGCCACCATGCCTGGCTAATTTTTGTATTTTTAGTAGAGATCAGGTTTCACCATGTTGGCCAGGCTGGTCTCCAACTCCCAACCTCAAGTGATCCGCCCACTTTGGCCTCCCAAGGTGCTGGGATTACAAGTGTGAGCCACTGCCCCCAGCCCAAGTCTTCTGATTCAGCTTTTATATTCAGTATTCTTTCTACTATAGTAAATATTAAATATTAGATTTTCTCAAAGCAAGACATCCCTCTGCTCCACGGCAAGAACCCACACAATTCCTTGGTGGCTCAGATATTTCTTTTACTTAATTCAGGGAACCATATTACTTAAAAAAAACAAAAGCAAATAAAAAATACCTAGCAGAAGCCAATAAATTCAGGTTTGTTAAATCACACAGGAATTGAGACGTAACAGCTGATTTACCTGAACATGATCAAAGGACCTGAAATTTTTGCAGAGTTTGCAGATATTGCAAGAAGTAGTCTACAGTAATGATCAAAACTGAACACTGGAGTCTGACTACTCAGATTCAAATCCCAGCTCCACCACCTACTGATTACATAACCTTATTCATATTCATTTAAGCATTCTGTGCCTCAGTTTCTTCATCTGTAAAATGAGGTTAATAATACCCTACCTGGTTGTTGTGAGTATCAAATGATTTAATACATAAAGTGCTTAGAGCAGTGAGTACTTGGTATGTGGTAAGCACTTAATAATTATCAGCTAGTACTGTTATTACTTTTGCATAATAAGATATGCTTTTATTCAATATGGAAAGCATTTTTGAGTTTCCTTTTTCTGTCTTGAGAAATATAATTATTGCTTCCTCCCACAATTTTTCCTTAAAACAAATTCTATTTCTTTTCAGAATACATCCTCTGTTAGCCACTAAGCATTATTCATTAGCCATAATCCACTGAACAAATGTCAGTTCATTTACAGTACATTTTACCTTTTCTCTCATTAATCTTCCAAATTATTGAAAATAGTCCAGAATTTTATCGATACTTTTATAATTTTATGTACAGAGAACCATCATTTTAGATAACTTGAGATTCAGAAAAATTTTAGTTTGTCAGTTTTAAGACAAAAAAGGAACCAGTATCAAGGGGAAAAAAATAGAAATAAAGAGAAAATACTTGATATCTAAATCACGCCCTTTTGTTGTATGCTCAGTTATATTAACAGGTTACATGGATGAAGAACTTGCAAAAAAATCTTGTTCCAAAATCCAGATTCTAAAATGTGGAGGCACTGCAAGGTCTCAGAATAGCCGAGAAGAAAACAAGGAAGCACTAAAGAATGACATCATATTTACGAATTCTGTAGAATCCTTGAAATCAGCACACATAAAGGAGCCAGAAAGAGAAGGAAAAGGCACTGATTTAGAGAAAGACAAAATAGGAATGGAGGTCAAGGTAGACAGTGACGCTGGAATACCAAAAAGACAGGAAACCCAACTAAAAATCAGTGAGATGAGTGTACCACAAGGACAGGGAGCCCAAATAAAGAAAAGTGTGTCAGATGTACCAAGAGGACAGGAGTCCCAAGTAAAGAAGAGTGAGTCAGGTGTCCCAAAAGGACAAGAAGCCCAAGTAACGAAGAGTGGGTTGGTTGTACTGAAAGGACAGGAAGCCCAGGTAGAGAAGAGTGAGATGGGTGTGCCAAGAAGACAGGAATCCCAAGTAAAGAAGAGTCAGTCTGGTGTCTCAAAGGGACAGGAAGCCCAGGTAAAGAAGAGGGAGTCAGTTGTACTGAAAGGACAGGAAGCCCAGGTAGAGAAGAGTGAGTTGAAGGTACCAAAAGGACAAGAAGGCCAAGTAGAGAAGACTGAGGCAGATGTGCCAAAGGAACAAGAGGTCCAAGAAAAGAAGAGTGAGGCAGGTGTACTGAAAGGACCAGAATCCCAAGTAAAGAACACTGAGGTGAGTGTACCAGAAACACTGGAATCCCAAGTAAAGAAGAGTGAGTCAGGTGTACTAAAAGGACAGGAAGCCCAAGAAAAGAAGGAGAGTTTTGAGGATAAAGGAAATAATGATAAAGAAAAGGAGAGAGATGCAGAGAAAGATCCAAATAAAAAAGAAAAAGGTGACAAAAACACAAAAGGTGACAAAGGAAAGGACAAAGTTAAAGGAAAGAGAGAATCAGAAATCAATGGTGAAAAATCAAAAGGCTCGAAAAGGGCGAAGGCAAATACAGGAAGGAAGTACAACAAAAAAGTGGAAGAGTAAGGATAAATTTTTTAAAGGCCCATAAGACAAGTGATTATTATGATTCCCATACTCCAGATACAAACCATATCCCAGCCATTGCCTAAACAGATTACAATTATAAAATCCCTTTCATCTTCATATCACAGTTTCTGCTCTTCAGAAGTTTCACCCTTTTTAATCTCTCAGCCACAAACCTCAGTTTCCAAATATTTGTTTTATAAGTTAAGACGTATATGATTCCGTCAAGAAAGACTGGATACTTTCTGAAGTAAAACATTTTAATTAAAGAAATATATAGTAATTTCCTTTGACAAGTATGTCTATGATAGCCTTTCCAACCAATCAACCAGTAACTCCTCATGGCAAGCCTAATGTTTGCAAGGCACTGGTCTAGCAATAAGGGGTGTACAGAAAAACACAAGTCAGAGCTCCTGCAATCAAGTAGCTTATAACATATATAGTGATATATGTATACATGGCAATTTTTTAAGTAAAATCTAAGTTACAAAAAGTTTAGATGGACAACATAATCCATCATGGGATGAGAAAGTAGAGGTGGTAACTTCATGGGGAAGGGAGTAGTGGTATACAATATGTCACAGCAGATGGATAAGGTGTTGATATGCTGAGTGAATTACAAAGAGTAAAAGAAAGGTAAAGGGTTAAAGGCTGTCGTGCCATGCTCCAGGTGCAGTAGGCAATTTTGCTGTTACGGAAGATTCATGGGAGGCATCCTGGGGTATAATTTTGAAAAGGAGAATATAAAAGGATTTGAAAAACAAGCCAGGAATTTATATTTTACTCTTCAGGCAGCTGGAAGCATTCTACAATGTTTGAGACACAGAGTGAAATGAATAAGGTTGTATCATTTTAAAAATAAGGTTGTATCATGTGATTGTGAAAAATAAGATAGAAAAAGAAACATCATAGATAGTAAATCTAATTAAGAAGTACTTGGAGTAAGTAATGGAAAGAGAATAAATAGGAAAAAAATCAAAGAAGAATCATTACTTCATGATGACTGACTGCATAGGAGTAAGGAAAAGTGAAAAAAACAATGGTTTCAAAACTTTTGAAACTAGGTAACAAACAAACTAGGAACTAATTTGGGGGACAGGGAGGGAACAACAAATTGTTTTAAGGGGATAAGCAATAACATTTGTCATTCAAGAGATATCTGGAATTAGATGAGTACAGGTAACAATTGAAGCAATAAGAGTGAGTTCTTCAAAGGAGGAAGTACAGGACTAACGAAAGCAGAAGTCCAAGGACTGAGTTTGTTATATGTAATATATTGAAGAAATTTAACTAAGGGATAGGAAGATAGAAGGAAAACCTGTATAGTGGAATGTTCCAATAATTAAGGAAGATGAGAGTTTTGAGAAAAAAATGACTGAGACTTCAAGGAAAATAAGGACTGAAAGAACACTGTAGTTGCTATTTGGAGCTGACTAATGAACTTCTAAAGAGCACTTTCCAAAGAAAGGAAGCTAGGAGAAGGAAGGTAAGCAGGAAGAATATAGAGATACAAGTAAGTAGTTGTGGGATGTGCCTTTCAAACATCCAACAGAGTTAACTTATTTTAGTCTATTTTAAAATAATCATTTTTAGAAATTTTATTTTTATACTGTTCAATACTGTGCTGGTTAGCCCACACCCTGAATATACATTTAGTTCAATCATGGGATGTGGATAAACTAAATGCCTTCAGGAGAGAAAGACTCAAGTGTGCAGGAAGTTGCAGAATTCCCCTGGGAAGACAAATATGAGGAAACAATGAGAATTACTTTCAAATAGTGAAAGTTCATAAGGGATTAGAATATTTTGTATAGCCCCAAAGAAATGAGATCAGTGAATGGAAGGTACAAAGTAACAAATTTTATCTTAGTAATAAGGAGAAGTGGAGGTCCAAAGAGTTTAAGCAAGAGTTTAAGGCTCATTCAGTGAGAATGCCATAGAGGAGACTCAGGAAACAGCTGAGTAATTGGAATAAGTTATCTTTATGGTCCCTTCCAAATAGACTTCCTGAGAGTCTATAATTCTAGTTATCAAATTCTTTGGACTAACTAGATGTCTTCCAAGGAAGCTTTTCATACTGATATGCTATTCTTTGGAGGCGTTTGATGAAAAAAGGAGAGAAACCAGACATTAGTCTCTGCCCAAAGTATAAAATGTTTCATAAATGTTTCAGGCTACCCAATCACAACCTTAAAAGAGTATCTCCATAACTTCTAGCACAATCTAATCCACTGTATGGCTGTCTACTGTGTTCTCACAGCCCTGCCGCAGGTATGGAAGCCTATGTTAATTTTAGAAGTCACAGAATCCTCAGGTCTTTGATGAGCTGCACAGGTTTAGCAAAACTGAGTTGCCAGAGAGAGAGAGAGTGAGAGAGAAGAAGACAGATATTAAACATGGATTTTAATATTGTAAGTTGCTTTTGTCATCTGTGGAAAATACACATTTAGAGATTTTACCAGCCTTTGTTGGCATGTCTTTTACATACATTATGCTGTTTATCAGGGAACATTTTTGACCAGAAAGATTTTCACATAGTTAAAAGTATTAGATTTTCATCATTCTCATGTCATTTTTCCTATAGCCCCTCTGGTCCATGTGACAGCTAACTAGTAGGTTGTTTGTTTGCTTGTTTGTTTTTCCTCACTCTTCACCCAGGCTGGAGTGCAGCGGCATGATCTTGGCTCACTGCAACCTCCTCCTCCTGGGTTCAAGTGATTCTCATGCCTCAGCCTCCTAAGTAGCTGGGATTACAGGAGTGCACCACCAAGCCCAGCTAATTAGTGTATTTTTAGTAGAGATGGGGTTTCACCATGTTGTCCAGGCTGGTCTCAAACTCCTGACCTCAGGTGATCCACCGCCTCAGCCTCCCAAAGTGCTGGGATTACAGGCGTGAGCCACTGTGCCCAGCCACTACTAGGTTTTAGAAGGGTATGACTAATTCAACTTCTCTCAGATTTCTGGTAAGAAGCAGGGACCTTGTCAAGGCAATTACTAAAAAACAGTAGATAGGCTTCAGCAACCCAGCTCAGCTGACTCCATATCTGTGTGTATGTCCCACTGAAGCAAGAATTCAGAAGAGATAGATCTATAGAAACCTCCCTGTATCTTCTCCATAACTTCTAACTTGGGGTCAAAACATTTGCACTCCCACTAGGTCTTTGAAGGCAAGTAAATCATACAATAGAATACTCCAACTATAAAAATTCTGTGGACCATTTTCTAAAGGCCACTGAAAAACTGACAAATTTAAAGCAATTGTTAACCCTCCTGTAAAGATACACATGTGGAAATCTTAAAGGACCCCAAACAAAGGAAGGGAGAAAGGACAAGCTATCAAAATGACACCATGTTTAACAAAATGATGAAAATTTTAAGAAAATACATAAATATGTACTTCTAAGATAGTGGCAATATAAAAGTAGGAATGTGAAACTTACCTTAAGAAATCAATAGTAAATTTTGTTTTGCAAATAAACTAATACAAATGTCAAATGTCCTGTTCACAAGAATGGAATAGAAGTCAATTCAATTAGTCATTTTTCATTTAGGAGCAGAACATAGGAAAGAAAAGCAGAAAGGTGAGTTTAGAGATAATGAAGCTGAATGAGAAACACAAAATATTAGGAAACAAACAATTTATGTAAAATCAGTTAATGCGGCTCCTATCCCAATTAAAGACTCCCTGAGTTAGTAGTGCATTAAAAATGCAATTTCCTGGCTGAGTGTGGGGCTCATGTCTGTAATTCCAGCACTTTGGGAGGCCGAGGAGGGTAGATCATGAGATCAGAAGTTCAAGACCAGCCTGGCCAACATGGGGAAACCCGTCTCTACTAAAAATACAAAAATTAGCCAGGCGTGGTGGTGCACACCTGTAGTCCCAGCTACTCAGGAGGCTGAGGCAGGAGAATTGCTTGAACCCGGGAGGCAGAGGTTACAGTGAGCCGAGATCATGCCACTGCACTCCAGCCTGGGCGGCAGAGTGAGACTCTGTCTCAAAAAATAAAAATAAAAAAATGCAATTTCCCATTTTCCCCTAAATATCTCTCACCCTAGGTTATAACTGACATATCAAGGAAGTGAATACAGGGAACCGAGAAAGGGGACAAGATATAGAAGGAAAAAACAGGATCCAAAGGAATAAAAGAATAAGCTGAAAAATTGATCAAAATATTCAGTTTTATATTTGATGAGATTCCTTTACTCTCCCCCTTAAAAACAATCAGGAATAGGAAAAAAACAACTAGTGTTCCTACACTCTACTTGAGAAGTTCCAATTGTGGTTTCGAAGAAATACAAGCCTGTAATCTTAGTGTTTCAGGAATAAAGACACTCTTATCTGTCATCATCCAGAAGCTTGAGCACTTGCCAAGACCGGGAAGTCAAACCTGAGATGCCACACTACAGATTATACACGTTGTAAGCTAGGTCTCAATAAATTTTCTATTCAAATCTTTATTAAGTTTCTCTCTTCAAAAATTAAAAACTCACAGTGTTAACTTTCTATGAATCTCTCCACATCTTAATCCATGTTTATATAAAAATATATGCAAATATGAGTATATGTAGGAATTTTTTTCTAAAAATAGGGTCAAACTATATACATAATTCTGCAACTTGTCTTCTTCGCCTAACAATACATCATGGGCAACACATCAATCTAACATTTTAATAGCACAGCATCCAGTAGTGTGAATGAATTACTGCTTATTCAACCATTTCCTTAAAGATAGACATTTAGCTTGTTTCCAACCTTTTGCCTTTGGCTAAATGATTCTGCCATTGCCAAATGATACTGCAATACACATCTCTATATATGATCAGGATTTTATTTCTCTAGGATAGATTTCCAGAAGTAGAACTGCCAGATCAAAAGAAATGTGTATTTTAATGTTAATAGATATTACCTAATTCCTTTTCCCCAAATTTGTAATAATTCATATTCCTACAGGAAGATATGAGAGTCCTATCTTCCCCATACTTGCACTGGTGCTGGAAGCGGTAGCTATTTTTAATCTTTGTCTATTGAGAAAAGTGGTATCTAACTGTTTCTTTAATTGTATTTTCCTGACTACTAGTGAGACTGAACATTTTTTCATAAGTTTAATCGTATTTTGAATTTTCTCTCCTGTGATTTAATTGCTTTTCAAACTGGTGGTTTGCCCGTTGTCTTACTCAGTTTTATGTGTTTTTGCATATTAAGTTTTTATCTGCCATTTGTGTTGAAAATGTTTTCCCAATCTACTCATTCTCTCTCTACATCCAATTCATCAACCTGTACCCTAAAATTATATCTTGAATCTGACTACTACTCATCTCCTTCATCAAGAAGTCCAAACCATTGCCATATCTCACCTGCATTGCTGTGCCTGCTTCCAAACTGAGCTTCCCAATCCCACTCCCCACTCCCAACGGAATCGTGCTTTCAAAATATAAATCAGATGAAGTCACTTCTCTACTCAAAACTCTCCAAAGACCAACCCCCATCAGTGTAAAAATTGCAAAGTTGTTTTTTTGTTTCTTTGTTTGTCAGTTTGAGATAGGGTCTCGAGCTGTTGCCCAGGCTGGAGTGCACTGGCATGATCACAGCTCACTGCAACCTCAACCTCCCAGGCTCAAGCAATCCTTCCATTTGGCCTCCTGAGTAGTTGGGACTACAAATGCACGCCACCATGCCCAACTAATTTTTTATTTTTTAGGTTTGCTAGAGATGAGGTCTTATGTTGCCCAGGCTGGTCTCAAACTCCTGGGCTCAAGCAACCCTCCCGCCTCAGCCTCCCAAAGTGCTGGGATTAGGCTGAGCCACCAGGCCCAGCTTCATGAAAGTTCTTATCCTGGCCTTGAAGGCCTTACAGTATCTAGCTTCTGGCTTCTCCTCTAGCCTCATCACCCACTCTCCATCTCCCTTCCATTGATGCAGCCACACTGGCCTCCTCATTTCTCCTCATGCCTGCCAAGCATGTTCTTGCTTCAGAATCAGCCTGAACACTCCCCCTCAAACATATGCACTACTCAATTATTTTAAGAAATATGCTTAAATTTGACTACCCTAAGTAAAACAGTACCCCCCATTCTCTATCTCTTTGCCCTGATGTATCTTTATTACTAGCATTTATCACCTGACATCATATATTTATTTTTGTTTATTGACTTTCTGCCCCACAAGAATGTAAACTCTAAGGGACTTTGTTCACTGCTGAATCTCCATGCTTAGAAAAGTGCCTCGCACATAGTAGATGCTCATCAAAGATTTGTTAACTGACATGAAGTAGATTAAATGAAGGTACATTTTACTATACAAAAATATACTTCATCTAGTCAAATATGTCTGCCTTATCCTCGGAAACTTCTGGGCTTTCTAAAGGGTCTCTTTGGAATGCATATACATGATTAATGAGAATGTAAGTTAGTTCAGCCACTGTGGAAAGCAGTTTGGATATTTCTCAAAGAACTAAAAGAACTACCATTTGGCCCAGCAATCCCATTACATATATATATATATATATATATATATATATCACTCAAAGAAAAATTATTCTACCAAAAAGACACGTGCGTTCATATGTTCATCGCAGTGCTATTCACAATAGCAAAGACACGGAATCAACTTAGGTGCCCATCAGTAGTGGACTGGATAAAGAAATGTGGTACATATATACCATGGAATACTACCCAGCCATTAACAAGAATGAAATGTCCTTTGCAGCCACACAGATGCAGCTGGAGGCCATTATCCTATGCTAATTAACACAGAAACAAAACCAAATACAGCTTGTTCTCACAAGTGGGAGCTAAACATTGGGTACACATGAACATAAAGATGGGAACAATAGATACTGGAGACAAGAAGAGAGGGGAAGAAGAGAGGAGGATGAGGGTTGAAAATCTACCTATTGGCTACTATGCTCACTACCTGAGTGACAGGATCATTCATATTCCAAACCTCAGCATTATACAATACTCACAGGTAACAAACCTCCACATGTACTTGCTGAATCTAAAATAAAGTTGAAAAAATAAAATAAAATAAATAAATAAATAAATAAATAAATGGTCTCCTTGACTACTATGGTACACATATTTATAGTCACTTAATTTTTTTCTTTTATAATTTTTATTTTCTATTTCTCTTCAATTAAATATTTAATCCATTTTGTTTATGGTGTGAACAGAGGTTTCACTTTTTTTCCTTCTTGACAGATATCAAATTATATCGGTAGCATTTGTAGAATCAATTATTCTTTTTCCCTAAATCATGCATTCTCAACAGGGGCCACATTGCCCTCCAAGGGTCAAAAACGAGTTCTGGGTGGATCAAGAAATCCAATGATTTATTGCGATTTATTCTTTTCAGGTATAAATCACAGATGTTCAGTATCCTAAGACTTTGCTGAAGTTGCTTATCAGCTTATGTATAAAGTACATAAGCAGATATATAGACAATAAAATACACAAGCAGATATACAGTATATTGGTAATATTACAATTTTGTAAAGTGAGGCAATTAGGATAAAAACGTCATATCATACTGCTTTGATTATACAGGGTATATAGAAAGTTTGAGTATCTATTAAGCATGTCTCATTCTGCTCTTTGTTCTTTGTTTTCTTGGCTCTTTTGGAATATGTTCCACCACATGAACTTTAATTTTACCTGACTCCCCTCTAAAAAAAATAGCATTCTGGCTGAAAATGAGTTAACTATTTGGAGATATTTGACATTATTGTTATTACTGAAGTCACTTCACCCAGAAATGTTGTATGAGTCTTCATTGGTTTAGGTCTTCATATTGGTGCTTTCACAAGACTTTACAATTGGTGCTTTCTGAAAAGTTTACAGACTTCTTCATATTAGTTCTTGTTATATTTACTCCTAGGTACCTATAATGTTTTGTTGTCATTGTAAGTGTGATTTTTACATTTTTTTAAATTAATTTTAACAAGTGTAGAGAAAAGTAATCTTTGTATTTATCTTGATTAATGTGACATCAGACTCTCATATCATTACTAATAATTTTCTGGCCATTTCTTGGATTTCTTAGTATACTGTGTAAAGAGATACAATTTTGCTTCATACAATTTACATTTATGCATTTTTGGTATTTGTTCTGTGTGTATAGAATCCAGCTTTTTCCAGGAGAATAATTTCTTTTATTAATTTTAATGATATTCTTTCTTTCTTTTTGTATTATTATACTTTAAGTTCTGGGATACATGTACAGAACGTGCAGGTTTGTTACATAAGTATTCACGTGCCATGGTGGTTTGCCGCACCCATCAATTTGTCATCTAGGTTTTAAGCCCCACCTGCATTAGGTATTTGTCCTAATGCTCTCCCTCCTCTTGCCCCTCACACCCTGACAGGCCCTGGTGTGTGATATCCCCGTCCCCGTGTCCATGTGTTGTCATTGTTCAACTCCCACTTATGAGCAAGAACATGCAGTGTTTAGTTTTCTGTTCCTGTGTTAGTTTGCTGAGAATGATGGTTTATAGCTTCATCCATGTTCCTGCAAAGAACATGAACTCATTCTTTTTTATGACTGCATAGTATATATGTGCCACATTTTCTTTATCCAGTCTATCATTGATGGGCATTTGGGTTGGTTCCAAGTCTTTGCTATTGTAAATAGTGCTGCAGTAAACATACGTGTGCATGTGTCTTTATAGTAGAATGATTTATAATCCTTTGGGGATATACCCAGTAATGGGATTGCTGGGTCAAATGGTATTTCTGGTTCTAGATCCTTGAGGAATCACCACACTGTCTTCCACAATGGTTGAACTAATTTACACTCCCATCAACAGTGTAAAAGTGTTCCTATTTCTCCACAGCCTCTCCAGCATCTGTTGTTTCCTGACTTTTTAATGATTGCCATTCTAACTGGCATAAGATGGAATCTCATTGTGGATTTGATTTGCATTTCTCTAAGGACCAGTGATAATGAGCTTTTTTCATATGTTTCTTGGCCACATAAATGTCTTCTTTTGAGAAGTGTCTGTTCATATCCTTTGCCCACTTTTTGATGAGGTTGTTTTGTTTTCTTGTAAATTTGTTTAAGTTCCCTGTAGGTTCTGGATATTAGACCTTCCTCAGATGGATAGATTGCAAAAATTTTCTCCCATTCTGTAGGCTGCCTGTTCACTCTGATGACAAGTTTCTTTTGCTGCGCAGAAGCTCTTTGGTTTAATTAGATCCCATTTGTCAATTTTGGCTTTTGTTGCCATTGCTTTTGGTGTTTTAGTCATGAAATCTTTTTTGCCCATGCCTATGTCCTGAATGGTATTGCCTAGGTTTTTTTCTAGAGTTTTTACGGTTTTAGGTTTTCTGTTTAAGTCTTTATTGAGGTAATTTTGTATAAGGTGTAAGGAAGGGGTCCAGTTTCAGTTTTCTGCATATGGCTAGCCAGTTTTCCCAACACCATTTATTAATTAGGGAATCCTTTCCCCATTGCTTGTGTGTGTCAGGTTTGTCAAAGATCAGATGGTTGTAGACATGTGGTGTTATTTCTGAAGCCTCTCTTCTGTTCTATTGGTCTATATATCAGTTTTGGTACCAGTCCCATGTTCTTTTAGTTACTGTAGCCTTATAGTATAGTTTGAAGTCAGGTAGCATGATGCCTCCAGCTTTGTTCTTTTTGCTTAGGATTGTCTTGGCTATATGGGCCCTTTTTTTGGTTCCATATGAAATTTGAAGTCGTTTTTTCTAATTCTGTGAAGAAAGTCAATGGTAGCCTGATGGGAATAGCATTGAATCTATAAATTACTTTGGGCCATATGGCCATTTTCACAATATTGATTCTTCCTATCCACGAGCATGGAATGTTTTTCCACTTGTTTGTGTCCTCTCTTATTTCCTTGAGCAGTGGTGTGTAGTTCTCCTTGAAAAGGTCCTTCACGTCCCTTGTAAGTTGTATTTCTAGGTGTTTTATTCTCTTTGTAGCAATTGTGAGCTCACTCATGATTTGGCTCTCTTTGTCTATTATTGGTATATAGAATGCTTGTGATTTTTGCACATTAATTTTGTATCCTGAGACTTTGCTGAAGTTGCTTATCAGCTTAAGAAGTTTTGGGGCTGAGACGATGGAGTTTTCTAAATATACAATCATGTCATCTGCAGACAGAGACAATTTGACTTCCTCTCTTCCTATTTGAATACTCTTTATTGCTTTCTCTTGCTTGATTGCCCCGGCCAGATTTTCCAACACTATGTTGAACAGGAGTGGTGAGAGAGGGCATCTTTGTCTCGTGCTAGTTTTCAAATGGAATGCTTCCAGCTTTTGCTCATTCAGTATATTAGCTATGGGTTTGTCACGAATAGCTCTTATTAGTTTGAGATATGTTTCATCAATACCTAGTTTATTGAGTGTTTTTAGCATGAAGGGGTATCAAATTTAATCGAAGGCCTTTTCTGTATCTATTGAGATAATCATGTGGGTTTTGTCATTGGTTCTGTTCATGTGATGGATTATGTTTATTGATTTGCGTATGTTGAACCAGCCTTGCATCCCAGGGATGAAGTCGACTTGATCATGGTGGATAAGCTTTTTGATGTGCTGCTGGATTCAGTTTGCATGTATTTTACTAAGGATTTTTGCATCAATCTTCTTCAGAGATATTGGCCTGAAACTTTCTTTTTTTGTTGTGTCTCTGTTAGGTTTTGGTATCAGGATGACGCTGGCCTCATAAAATGAGTTAGGGAGGAGTCCCTCTTTTTTTATTGTTTGGAATAGTTTCAGAAGGAATGGTACCAGCTCCTCTTTGTACCTCTGGTAGAATTCGCCTGTGAATCCGTCTGCTCCTGGGCTTTTTTGGGGGGTAGTAGGCTATTAATTATTGCCTCAATTTCAGAACTTGTTACTGGTCTATTCAGGGATTCAACTTCTTCCAGGTTTAGTCTTGGGAGAGTGTATGTGTCCAGGAATTATTATTATTGTGTGGGAGTCTAAGTCTCTTTATAGGTCTCTAGGAACTTGCTTTATGAATCTGGGTGCTCCCGTATTGGGTGCATATATATTTAGGATAGTTAGCTGTTCTTGTTATATTGATCCCTTTACCATTATGTGATGCCCTTCTTTGTCTTTTTGATCTTTGTTTGTTTAAAGTCTGTTTTATCAGAGACTAAGATTGCAACCCCTGCTTTTTTTTTTCTTTCCATTTGCTTGTTAAATATTCCTCCATCCCTTTATTTTGAACCTATGTGTATCTTTGCACATGAGATGGGTCTCCTGAATACAGCACACTGATGGGTCTTGAGTATTTATCCAATTTGCCAGTCTGTGTCTTTTAACTGGGGCATTTAGCCCATTTACATTTAAGGTTAATATTGTTATGTGTGAATTTGATCCTGTCCTCCTGGTGCTAGTTGGTTATTTTGCATATTAGTTGGTGCAGTTTCTTCATAGTGTCGTTGGTCTTTATATTTTGGTGTGTTTTTGCAGTGGCTGGTACTGGTTTTTCCTTTCCATATTTAGTGCTTCCTTCAGGAGCTCTTTTAAGGTAGGCCTGGTGGTGACAAAATCCCTCAGCACTTGCTTGTCTGTAAAGGATTTTATTTCTCCTTCCCTTATGAAGCTTAGTGTGGCTGGATATGAAATTCTGAGCTGAAAATTATTTTCTTTAAGAATACTGAGTATTGGCCCCCACTCTTTTCTGGCTTATAGGGTTTCTGCAGAGAGAGCCAATGTTAGTCTAGTGGGCTTCCCTTTATAGGTAACCTGACCTTTCTCTCTGGCTGCCCTTAACATTTTCTCCTTCATTTCAACCTTGGAGAATCTGAAGATTTTGTGTCTTGGGGTTGCTCTTCTCGAGGAATATCTTTGTGGTGTTCTCTATATTTCCTGAATTTGAATGCTGGCCTGTCTTGCTAAGCTGGGGAAGTTTTCCTGGATAACATCCTGAAGCTTGTTTTCCAACTTGGTTCCATTCTTCCTGTCACTTTCAGGTACACCGATCAATCGTAGGTTTGGTCTTTCCACATAGTCCCATATTTCTTGGAGGCTTTGTTCATTCCTTTTCATTTTTTTTCTCTAATCTTGTCTTCACACTTTATTTCATTAAATTGATCTTCAATTTCTGATATCCTTTCTTCCACTTGATCAATTTGGCTATTGATACTTGTGTACACTTCACGAAGTTCTTGTGCTGTGTTTTTTCACCTCCATTAGGTCATTTATGTTCTTCTCTAAACTAGTTATTCTAGTTAGCAGTTCCTGTAACCTTTTATCAAGGTTCTTAGTTTCCTTGCATTGGGTTTGAACATGCTCCTTTAGCTCAGAGGAGTTTGTTATTACCCACTTTCTGAAGCCTACTTCTGTCAGTTCGTCAAACTCATTCTCTGTCCAGTTTTGTGCTCTTGCTGGAGAGGCATTGCAATCATTTGAAGGAGAAGAGGCATTCTGGTTTTTGGAATTTTCGGCATTTTTGCACTGGTTTTTCCTCATCTTTGTGGATTTATCTACTTTTCATCTTTGATGTTGATGACCTTGGATGTGGTTTTTGTGTGGGCATCCTTTTTTTTGTTGATGTTGATGTTATTGCCTTTTTTTTTTTTTTTTTTTTTTTGAGACAAAGTCTCGCTCTGTTGCCCAACCTGGAGTGCAGCAGCGTGATCTCGGCTCACTGCAACCTCCACCTTCCAGGTTCGAGTGATTCTCCCACCTCAGCCTCCCAAGTAGCTGGGACTACAAGTGCGCGCCACCATGCCCAGCTACTTTTTGTATTTTTAGTAGAAACAGGGTTTCACCATATTGGCTAGGCTGGTCTCAAACTCCTGACCTTGTGATTTGCCCGCCTCAGCTTCCCAAAGTTCTGGGAATAAACCACCATGCCCAGCTGATGTTATTGCTTTCTGTTTTTTGGTTTTCCTTCTAACAGTCAGGACCCTCTTCTGCAGGCCTGCTGGAGTTTACTGGAGGTCCACTATACACCCTATTTGCCCGGGTATCACCAGTGGAGCCTGCAGAACAGCAAAGATTGCTGCCTGTTCCTTCCTCTGGAAGCTTCATCTTAGAGGGCACCAGTCTGATGCCAGCCAGAGCTCTCCTGTATGAGGTGTCTGTCAACCACTGCTGGGAGGTGTCTTCCAGTTAGGAGGCATGGGGGTCAGGGACCCACTTGAGGAGGCAGTCTGTCCCTTAGCAGAGCTCAAGCACTGTGCTGGGAGATCTGCTGTTCTCTTCAGAGCTGGCAGGCAGGAATGTTTAAGTCTGCTGAAGCTGCTCCCACAGCCGCCCCTTCCCCCAGGTGCTCTGTCCCAGGAAGATGGGAGTTTTAAATATAAGCCCCTGACTGGGGCTGCCTTTCTTTCAAAGATGCCCTGCCCATTGAGGAGGAATCTAGAGAGGCAGTCTGGCCACAGCTGCTTTGCTGCACTGCAGTGAATTCTGCAAAGTCCGAACTTCCCAGTGGCTTCCTTAACACTGTGAGGGGAAAACCACCCACACAAGCCTCAGTAATGGCGGGCACCCCTCCCCACACCAACCTGGATTGTCCCAGGTCGACTTCAGACTGCTATGCTGGCAGTGAGAATTTCAAGCCAGTGGTTATTAGCTTGCTGGGCGCTGGGGGAGTGGGACCCACTGAGCGAGACCACTTGGCTCCCTGGCTTCAGCCCCCTTTCCAGGGGAGTGAATGGTTCTGTCTTGCTGGGGTTCCAGGTGCCACTGGCCTATGAAAAAAAAAATTGCAGCTAGCTCGGTGTCTGCCCAAACAGCCGCCCAGTTTTGTGCTTGAAACCCAGCACCCTAGTGGTGTAGGCACACAAGGGAATCTCCTGGTCTGTGGGTTGCAAAAACCATGGGAAAAGCATAGTATCTGGTCCAGATAGCACAGTCCCTGGTCCGGATAGCACAGTCCCTCACGGCTCCCCTTGGCTAGAGGAGGGAGGTCCCCAGCTCCTTGCACTTCCCAGGTGAACCAACAACCCACCCCACTTCTGCTCACCCTCCATGAGCTGCACCTACTTTCTAACCAGTCCCAATGAGATGAACTGGGTACCTCAGTTGGAAATGCAGAAATCACCCGCCTTCTGCATTGGTCTCACTGGGAGCTGCAGACCAGAGCTGTTCCTATTCAGCCATCTTTCCCAGGAACTTCCAGTATTCTTTATTTCAAATAGTAATTTCTGATTTAAATTCTATTTTAAATAATAGCTTTTTGGTTAATATTTTCCTCTGCTTTGTCTTTCTCTATTATTTTACTTTTCAGATTCCAATAAGTCTTGTGAATAGAAAATAACTGGATCCTTTTTCCCTGTCTTAGAGTATAGATCTTTTAAGGGGCAAGTTTAAACCATTTGTATTTATGATGATTACTGATTTACTCAGTTTTGTTTATGACACCTTACCAAGTGCTTTCCATATTGCATAATTTTACAGTACTATTCCACTGTCTTTGCTATTGTTGTCTGATATTTTCATTCTGCTACATTTATGCACCCCAAAATTAGTCATGATAAAATTATTTTTATAGTCTGTGTTTTTCAGATATATTCATATATTTACCAATATTGCTCACTATTTCTCTTTGTATCTTAATCCTTGCTTTGTGGTTTGATTTTTTTGTTTTTTGGTTTTTAGTTTTTTTGTGTGAGACAGGCTCTCTCATTCTGTCACCCAAGATAGAGCGCAGTAGTGCAATCTCAGCTCACTGCAACCTCCACCTCCCGAGTTCAAGCGATTCTCCCACCTCAGCCTCCCGAGTATCTGGGACTACAGATATGTGCCACCATACCCAGCTAATTTTTCTATTTTTAATAGAAACAGGGTTTCACCATGTTGGCCAGGCTGGTCTCGAACTCCTGACCTCAAGTGATCTGCCTGCCTTGGCCTCCCAAAGTGTTGAGATTACCAGTGTGAGCCATCGCACCCCGCCTGTGGTTTCATTTTTAAATGAGGATCTGTGAATAATAAATTCTTGGACTTTTGCCAGAAAAATTAACTTCGCCTTCATTATAAAATAACAGTTTTGCTGAATAAGGAACTCAATGTATTTTCTCAGCTAATTGAAGATGTTATCCATTGCCTTTTGGCCTTTGTTTTTGCTCTTAAGAAGTCTGCTTAATACCTAGTTAGTTTGCAGGTTATTTTGTCTTTTTCTGTCTGGTAATATTTAGAATTTTGTCTTTGTCTTGGTGTTACACAGTTTCACTACTATGTGTCCAGTCCATTTTCATTATTCCTGCTTTAGGAGGGTGCATCTTAAAACTTTACAGTAATGTCTTTCATCAATTTTGAAAAATTCTTAAGCATTCTTTCTTTGAACTTTGCTTTTCCTCCATGCTTTCTATATTCTCTTTCTGGAATTCAAATGTATTTTTGATCTTCTCATTCTAGTCTCTATTTCTGTTAACCTTGTTTTTATGTATTTTTAAGTCTGTCTGCAATGCAGTATAGACAACTTCCTCAAGTCTACCTTCCAATTCACTGATTTTCTTTTCAGTGTCTAATGTCCTGATTAGCCTATTGAGTTTTAGCCAATTACTAATATTTACTGTTTCTAAAATTACGATTTGCTTCTCCTAATATTTGTTCATAGTCTCATCTATGTGTATGTGTTATTATCACCCAAAGTTCATAGTTTAAGATTTATATTTTCAGGTATCTTTATAGCAATGCCCCACTTCCCAGTACCAATTTTCTGTGTTAGTCCGTTCTCACATTGCTATAAAGAAATGCCTGAAACTGGGTAATTTATAAAGAAAAGAGGTTTAATTGGCTCACAGTTCTGCAGGCTGTACATGTTCTGGGGAGGCCTCAGGAAACTTACAATCATGATGGAATGTGAAGGGGAATCAGGCAATATCTTACATGGCTGGAGCAGGAGGAAGAGAGAGAAGGGGGAGGTGCTGCACACTTTTAAACAACCAGATCTCGTGAGAACTCAGTATCATAAGAATGGCAAAGGGGAACTCCACCCCCTTGATCCAATCACCTCCCACCAGGCCCCTCCTCCGACATTGGGGATTAAAATTTGACATAAGATTTGGGCAGGGACACAAATCCAAACCATATCAGGGCCTATGCCCATAAAATCAGCAGGAAGCAGTTACAGAAGATGGACCTCCACCCTTCTTCAGCCCCCTTAAGATTAAGGAGGAGTATCTAATATCTGAGGGGGGAATGAGGTAGGAGACTGGCAGGACTTATTTCCTGGTACTGACAGGATAAGTGAAAAAAACAGCAGAAACTAGCAGATGGTAACAAAAGCAATCCCTAGTTGCCCCCACTACTCATTAGTATAAGACACCAGCACCATGACGGTTTTCAAATGCCATGGTAAGGACCCAGAAGTTATTGCCCCTTCCCATGACAATGACCGAGAAGTTACCACCCCTTTCCTAGAAAGCTTTAAATAAACTACTCCTCAATTTGCATTAACCCACCACTGATTGGCATATGATTGAAAGTGGGTATAAGTGGGTATAGAGTTGCCAACAGTCCATTCATTGCCAACTTGGCACATTATCTATGAGTTAGCCCTGCTCTGCAAGGAGCAATAAAGTTCAATAAAAGATTGCTGTCTAAAACCACTGGCTTGCCCTTGAATTCATTCCTGGGCAAAGTCAAGAACTTTCCTGGGCTAAGCTCTAATTTTGTGGCATGTCTGTCCTGCATCAAATGGATAAAGAAAATGTGATATATATATATATATATATATATATATATATATATATATATATATATATATGTATGTATGTATGTAGTGGAATACTATTCAGCTTTTAAAAAACAAGGAAATTCTGTCATTTGTGACAACATGGATGAACCTGGAGGACATTATGTTAAGTGAAATGTAAGGCACAGAAAGATAAATACCACATGATCTCACTTATATGTGGAATCTTAAAAAGTTGAACGAAGAAGCAGAGAGTAGAATGGTGGTTACCAGGTACTGGGAGCAGGGAAATGGGGGACAGAAAATGGGGGAATTGGGGAGTTGTTTGTCAAAGGATACAAAATTTAGTTTCATAGAATAAATAAGGAAGTCAGAATATCTATTTTATAACATGGAGACTATAGTTAAAACAACATTATTGTATTCTTGAAAAATCACTGAGTAGATTTTAAGTGTTCTCATCATAAAAAAAGGATAAGTATATGAGCTGATATATGTTAATTAGCATGATTTAGCATTCTGTGATGTATACGTATTTCAAGACATCATGTTATACATGATAATTGTATACAATTTTTATTTGTCAGTTTAAATATATAAATTTTAAAATAAAGTACTCACATCAGGGATATATTTGTATTTTCTAAGTAACAACAATAACAATTTAAAATGCATAATACAAAACTAACAAAGGCTGATCATAGAATAATTTATAAAAATCATTCCAAAAGGAGGCCAAGAGGCCAGATGCAGTGGCTCATGCCTATAATCCTGGCACTTTGGGAGGCAGAGGCGAGTGGATTCCTTGAGCCCAAGAGTTCAAGGCCAGCCCAAGCAACATAGCAAAACCCCATCTCTACAAAAAATACAAAAATTAGCTGAGCATGTTGGTGTGCACCTGTAGCCCCAGCTACTCGGGAGGCTGAGGTGGCAGGATGACTTGAGCCTGGGAGGTGGAGGTTGCAAGAGAGACCACACCACTGCACACCAGCCTGGGTAACAGAGCCAGATGTGGTCTCAATAAACAAATAGGAGGCCGAAAACATAAGAAAACATAGAATACAAAACAGGTGAAAAAATAGAAAACGAGCAATAAAATAATCTTAGACCCATATATATCAATCAATAATTCCATTAATTATAAATGGACTAAATGGCCACATTTTATTTGTTTTTACTTAAGTTTTTATTTATTTATTTATTATTTCCATAGGTTTTAGGGGGACAGGTGGTATTTGGTTACACTAGTAAGTTCTTTAGCGGTGATTTGTGAGACTTTGATGCACCCATCACCCAAGCAGTATACAGTGAACCCAATTTGTAGTCTTTCATCCCTCACTCCCTTCCCACCCTTTCCCACTGAGTCCCCAATATCATTCTTATGGCTTTGCATCCTCATAGTTTAGCTCCCACTTATGAGTGAGAACATATGATGTTTGGTTTTCCATTCCTGAGTTACTTCACTTAGAATAGTGTCCAATCCCATCCAGACTGCTGCAAATGCCATTAATTCATTCCTTTTTATGGCTGAGTAGTATTCCACCATATATATATGCCATAGTTTCCTTGTCTATTCGTTGACTGATGGGTATTTGGGTTGGTTCCACATTTTTGCAGTTGTAACTTGTGCTGCTATAAACATGCATGTGCAAGTATCTTTTTTGTATAATGACTTCTTTTGCTCTGGGTAGATACCCACTAGTGGCATTGCTCGATTGAATGGTAGTTCTACTTCTAGTTCTTTAAGGAATCTCCAAACTGTTTTCTATAGTGGTTGTACTAGTTTACATTCCCACCAGCAGTGTAGAAGTGTTCCCTGTTCACCGCATCTATGCCAACCTCTATTATTTTCTGATTTTTTTTTCAAAAAGAACATAAAACTTTATTAAGAACATCTTATACTGTCATCAGATACAGCCAAAGAAAAACGGGTAAACAAACAGGGAAAGTTCATCTTCCCATGTGCTATTGCCACCTCAGAACAGACTCCTGTGTAGATAGCTGGAACAACAGTTGGCAACAAATGCTCTGTATAAATAATTCATTAAGTACACAATGTTTCCTTTCTATACAGAGAAGAATTGGGCTTACAACTATGAAACAAGACTACATCTTTAGGAGCTATTTCTTAATAGAATACAAAGCAGTTTAGTAGCTGTATGTTATTTCAGATAATGTAATTTTTTAATGAAAAATTCAGAAAGGACATTCTAACTTTCCCAATTAGTTAATTTGTACTGTTGAGTTTTTTCTCTCTAAAGATTTCTCAGAATCAGTTCAGTAACTATACTTTAAAAAGATGAGTTGCTCATCTACAGTGATAATTGACAACTTAGTTTTGTGACTTTGCAAATCAAGATGCCTGGGTCATCCCCACTTTTGCTGATTCTGAAAGATTTCTTTAGAAAAACCCTGATTCAGAGAAGCAGGAGTAAGGTGGTATCACATTGTGGTTTTGATTTGCATTTCCCTGATCCTTAGTGATGCTGAGCATTTCTTCATATGTTTGTTGGCCATTTGTATATCTTCTTTTGAGAATTGTCTGTTCATGTCCTTAGCTCAATTTTTGATGAGATTGTTTCTTTCTTTCTTGCTAATTTGCTTGAGTTTGTTGTAGATTCTGGATATTAGTCCTTTGTCAGATGTATAGATTGTGAAGATTTTCTCCCACTCTGTGGGTTGTCTGTTTACTCTGCTGACTATTCCCTTTGCCATGCAAAAGCTCTTAAATTAAGTCCCAGCTATTTATCTTTGTTTTTATTGCATTTGCTTTTGGTTCTTGGTCATGAAATCCTTGCCTAAGCCAATGTCTACAAGGGTTTTTCCAATGTTACCTTCTAGAATTTTTATAGTTTCAGGTCTTAAATTTAAGTCCTTAGTCCTTCTTGAGTTGATTTTTGTATAAGGTGAGAGATGAGGATCCAGTTTCATTCTCCTACATGTGGCTTGCCAATTATCCTAGCATCATTTGTTGAATAGGGTGTCCTTTACCCACTTTATGTTTTTGTTTTCTTTGTCAAAGATCAGCTGGCTGTAAGTATTTGGGTTTATTTCTGGGTTCTCTATTCTGTTCCATTGGTCTTTGTCCCTATTTTTATACCAGTACTATCCTGTTTTGGTGACTATGGCCTTACAGTATAGTTTGAAATCAGGTAATGTGATGCCTCCAGATTTGTTCTTTTCCCTTAGCCTTGCTTTGGCTATTTGGGCTCTTCTTTGGTTCCATATGAATTTTAGGATTTTTTTTTCTAGTTCTGTGAAGAATGATGCTGGTATTTATATGGGAATTGCATTGAATTTGTAGATTGCTTTTGGCAGTATGGTCATTTTCACAATATTGATTCTACCCATCCATGAGCATGGGGTGTGTTTCCATTTGTTTGTGTCATCTATGATTGTTTTCAGCAGTGTTTTGTAGTTTTCCTTGTAGAGGTCTTTCACCTCCTTGGTTAGGTTATATTCCTAAGTTTTTTTGATTGTGTGATTTGTTTGTTTGTTTGTTTGTTGCAGCTATTGTAAAAAGTGGTTGAGTTCTTGATTTGATTCTCAGCTTGGTCACTGCTGGTGTACAGGAGAGCTACTGATTTGTGTACATTAATTTTGTATCCAGGAAATTTGCTGAATTATTTTATCAGTTCTAGGAGCTTCTTGGAGGAGTCTTCTGGGTTTTCCAGGTATACAATCATATCATCAGCAAACAGTGACAGTTTGACTTCCTCTTTACCAACTTGGATGCCTTTATTCTTTCTCTTGTCTGATTGCTCTGGCTAGGACTTCCAGTACTATGTTGAAGTGGTGAAAGTGGGCATCCTTGTCTTGTTCCAATTCTCAGAGGGAATGCTTTCAACTTTTCCCCATTCAGTATTATGTTGGCTGTGCGTTTATCATACATGGTTTTTATTACATTGAGGTATGTCCCTTGTAGGCTGATTTTGCTGAGAGTTTTAATCATAAAAGGATGCTGCATTTTGTCAAATGCTTTTTCTGTGTCTATTGAGATGATCATGTGATTTTTGTTTTTAATTGTTTATGTGGTGTATTACATTTATTGACGTGCATATGTTAGACCATCCCTGCATCCCTGCTATGAAACCCACTTGATCATGGTGGATTATCTTTTTGATATGTTGTTGGATTTGGTTAGCTGGTATCTTGTTAAGGATTTTTGCATCTATGTTCATCAGGGATATTGGTCTTCAGTTTTCTTTTTTGTTGTTGTTATGTTCTTTTGTTCTTTCCTGGCTTTGGTATTAGGATGATACTGGCTTCATAAAATGATTTAGGGAGGATTCCTTCTTTCTCTATCTTGTGGAATAGTGTCAATAGGATTGGTACCAATTCTTCTTTGAATGTCTGGTAGAACTCAGTTGTGAATCCGTCTGGCCCTGGACTTTTTTTTTTGTAATTTTTTTATTACCATTTCAATCTTGCTGCTTGTTATTGGTCTGTTCAGGGTATCTAATTCTTCCTGATTTAAGGTAGGAGGGTTTTCTCTTCCCAGGAATGTATCGATCTCCTCCAAGTTTTCTAGTTTATGCACATAAAGGTGTTCATAGTAGCCTCAAATGATCTTTTGTATTTCTGTGGTGTCAGTTGTACTATCTCCCATTTCATTTCTACTTGAGCTTCTTTGGATTTTCTCTCTTCTTGGTTAATCTTGCCAATGGTCTATCAAGTTTATTTATCTTTTCAAAGAACCAGCTTTTTGTTTCACTTCTGTATTTTTTTGTTTCAATTTCATTTAGTTCTGCTCTGATCTGGGTTATTTCCTTTCTTCTGCTGGCTTTGGGCTTGGTTCTTGTTTCTCTAGTTCCTTGAGGTGTGACCTTAGATTGTCTATTTGTGCTCTTTCAGACTTTCTGATGTAGGCATATAGGGCTAAGAACTTTCCTCTTAGCACCGCCTTTGCTGTATCCCAGAGGTTTTTGTAGGTCATGTCACTATTGTTATTCAGCTTGAATAATTTTTTAATTTTCATCTTGATTTCATTGTTGACCCAATGATCATTCAGGAGCAGGTTATTTAATTTCCATGTATTTGCGTGGTTTTAAAGGTTCCTTTTGGAGCTGATTTCCAGTTTTATTTCACTGTGGTCTGAGACAGTGCTTAACATAATTTCAGTGTTCTTAAATTTATTGAGACTTGTTTGGTGCTCTATCATGTGGTCTATCCTGGAGAAAGTTCCATGTGCTGAAGAATTGAACGTATATTCTGCAGTTGTTGGGTAAAATGTTCTGTATATATCTGTTAAGTCTATTTGTTCCAGGGCATAGTTTAAATTCATTGTTTTTTTGTTGGCTTTCTGTCTTAATGATCTGTCTAGTGCTGTCAGTGGCGTATTAAAGTCCCCCACTAGTATTGTGTTGCTGTATATATCATTTCTTAGGTCTAGTAGTAATTGTTTTATAAATTTGGGAGCGCCAGTGTTAGGTGCATATATATTTAGGATTGTGATATTTTCCTGTTGGACAAGAAATGCCACATTTTAAAAACAAAAATTATCAAACTGGATTAAATGGCAATATAAATGTCAGTTGATAGGATAGTTAATACTATACTCAACAATGTAATGAAGAGTAAGAAAGGGCTGGGCTTTGTGGCTCATGCCTGTAGTCCCAGCACTTTGGGAGGCCCGAGGGAAGAGGGGCTGGCTCTTACTCCTCGCATCGCGGGGGGCGCCTGAGATAAGGTGGATCACCTGAGATAAGGAGTTCAGACCAGTCTGGCCAATATGGTAAAACCCCATCTCAACTAAAAATACAAAAAAATTAGCTGGGTGTGGTGGCGGGCATCTGTAATCCCAGCTACTTCGGGAGGCTGAGGCAGAAGAATCGCTTGAACTCAGGAGACAGAGGTTGCAGTGAGTCGAAGTCATGCCATTGCACTCCAGCCTGGGCGACAAGAGCGAAACTCTGTCTCAAAAAAAAAAAGTAAGAAAGAACTCAAACTTATATGTAGTGATCATGACAATAAGGAATTTTGTCTGTGTGAGCTCTGAAAATTTTATAAAGTTTTTAAATATGGAGTTCATGCTTAGTGATTGAGTTATTTAATGTCAAATGATATCTAAGCATTTATTTTTAACATTTCATTAATCAAGTACACAATATGTATTTAAGGAATTATGATAAAGTAAACCAATCTTCTACCCATATCACTGTACCTATTTGATTCATCAAAATTTGTCCTCCCTAAATTCCATGTTCTGCAATGTGTTTAGAAATAAATAGTAAGGCATGGCGCCACGCACCTGTAATTCCAGCTACTCAGGAGGCAGGGCAGGAGGATCACTTGAGCCTGGGAGTTTGAAGCCAGCCTAGGCAATATAGTAAGACCCTGTCTCAAAAATTAATTAATTAATTAATTAATAATAACAAGTGGTAGCCTTGCTCTTGGTCAAAACATTGACTTTGGGCTGGGTGCAGTGGCTCACGCCTGTAATCCCAGCACTTTGGGAGGCCGAGATGGGCGGATCACAAGGTCAAGAGATTGAGATCATCCTGGCTAACACGGTGAAACCTTGTCTCTACTAAACATACAAAAAAATTAGCCGGGTGTGGTGGCAGGGGTCTTTGGTCCCAGCTACTCAGGAGGCTGAGGCAGGAGAATGGCGTGAACCCGGGAGGTTGAGCTTGCAGTGAGCTGAGATCGCACCACTGCACTCCAGCCTGGATGACAGAGCGAGACTCTGTCTCAAAAAAAAAAATTTTTTGGCAGGGCACAGTGTCTCACGCCTGTGATCCCAGCACTTTGGGAGGCCAAGGTGGGCAGATCACAAGATCAGGAGTTCGAGACCAGCCTGGCCAACATGGTGAAACCCCATCTCTACTAAAATACAAAAATTAGATGGGTGTGGTGGTGCACGCCTGTAATCCCAGCTACTTGGGAGGCTGAGGCAGAAGAATTGTTCGAACCCAGGAGGCAGAGGTTGCAGTGAGCCAAGATCACACCATTGCACTCCAGCCTGGGCAAGAGAGCAAGACTCCATCTTAGGGGAAAAAAAAAAAAAAGATTGACTTTGGTTTATTATTTGATCGAGTTTTTTCCATTAGTACATTACTTATCTATTTATCAGTTACTGGATACAAAAGTTTCTGGAACTGAGTTCCTCACAATTGTTCCTCATAATTGTTTGGATGTAGTCCATTCCAAATAATAACTATCTATTTAAGTCTATTAAGTCTATTTTTTTAAAAAAAGAAAACACCCCTGAATAGCAAAATGACTAACGAAAAATAATAAAATTATCTGAGATTAGTCGTAGATTTTTATCAGCTAAAAACAGAAGGAACTTCCAAACCAACAAAGAGTAGATTAAACAAAGGCAAAAATAAAATGAGAGAATAGAAAATGAGATGAAAAAAGAAGAAAAATTATAGCAGCCAAGTTTAATGAGGTGCTTTGCCAATCACTGAAATGTGTCTGTCCAGCCTAAGAAAAGTTGAAAAGAAAAAAATGGCCGGGTGGGGTGGCTCACGCCTGGAATCCCAGCACTTTGGGAGGCCAAGGCAGGCGGATCACGAGGTCAGGAGATCGAGACCATCCTGACTAACACAGCAAAACCCCATCTCTACTAAAAATACAAAAAAAAAAAAAATTAGCCAGGCATGGTGGCAAGCACCTGTAGTCCCAGCTACATGACAGGCTGAGGCAGGAGAATGGCGTGAGCCTGGGAGGTGGAGCTTGCAGTGAGCCGAGACCACACCACTGCACTCCAGCCTGGGTGACAGAGCAAGACTCTGTCTCAAAAAAAAAAAAGAAAAAAAGAAATCAGATGCATATCAGTGAACTTTACACCTTTCAGATCTATTCAATGGTGGACTGAATGACTGTGGAAAGAAACATCTTCTTTATCATATGAAGTACCCTGTGGTCCAGTGGCAATTCTGATGAAACCACACTGCTTTGTAACTTATGGACATCTTCATACACTAAATAAGAAAAATTACATTAAAACTAACCACCATCCAATCACTTTTGACTAGGTGTTAAAAGGACTCACATTCTACCTTTTATCCATCTGACAAGCTCCTACTTATTTGCGATTCAGGTCAAATGTCATCTCATTTGTAAAGTCTTCCTAAACACCTACTAAGGGAGACTGCCCTCCACACAGTTCCCAAATCACTTTTATATACCTCAATTATTCTCTGTTTATACGTTTACCCGCTTTACTAGATTCTGTGCACCTGGAGGTGAGAAACCAGATGTTTTTCGTCTTTGTTTCTCCAGAGTTAAGCTTAGCTGGTTCATGAAAATCATTCAAAACTTACTGAAAGAATCTCAGTCTTAAGAGGAAAAAACTAAACAACTATCATATACAGTAACAAACAGCTTAGGAACAAAATATTACAGGAGGAATGATAATTTCACCCTAATAGAGTGCTGGGATACTTCACAAAAAGATGATATTTGATCTGCTTTGAAGAAGTCATAAGTTAGATGAAGCAAATAAAAGTGGATTTTAAAAGGTGAAATCAAGTCTATTCCAAGGAGTGAATATGAGCCAATGCCCAGAGGTAGGACAGCATGAAGGGTCTAACGAGAGTGAGTGGACAGGCCTTGCCGGACTATAAGTGAAAAGTAGTATCAGAAATGATATCAGAAAAGTAGATTGGGGCCCAATTGAGAAGTCCCTTGAATGCCATAGTAAATAAAGCTTTAATTATTTATCTTACAGACAATGTGGAGCCCTTGGTTTTAAAGAAGAGCATCAAAATTAAATTTCTTCTTTCAAAATTTTATTCTCCCCAGATTAACGAATATTATTCAAGTTATAGCTTCAGTTTCACCAAAGGTCATGTCTCAATCCTTCTCCTCTACAGGAAAGCAATTCTAAAAAAAAAAAAAAAAAAGGGAAAAGAAAAACCTCAGATAAAACTGGTTTTGGTAGGACTACTCTCAGGCAGGACAGCATAAGATACAAGAATCAAATGACTGGCAATAGAAGACTTATTAAGATTAAAACTGTACTGGTCATCAGACAAGTGACTAGATCTGATTTGTTCAAATTAGAGTTTGTAATTTATTTTGAATACAAAGCAAGGCATGGTCATTTAAAAACAGACAATACTAAAAAATGTAAAAAAAAAAAAAGAGGGAAGTGAAAATTACTATAACCATCCTCATCCCTTAAAATGACTCTGCTATTAACATTTAAGTTAAATCACTAACTTTCTTCAATGCCTGAGTATACATACAGATAGATACTTCATTTTTCCAAGTAGATTTCAAACTTACGTACCTGCATCTTTTCACTCAATATACCATGAAAATTTTTCCATAATAATATGTATCTATATAATATTTAATCAGTGCATAATTTATTTAAACACTCCCCTGTAGGTGGACTTTATCTTTTCATTTAAACCAACACTACAGTAAATGTATGTCTCTTTACACATTTATCTAAATTTTTCCTGAAGTTAAATTTCCAAAAAAGTAATTTCTGAATCAAAAGGTATCTGGTGCAGCAGCTGTAGAGACAGGGTGCAGAACCCCTGCCCTGCAATCACAAGGCAGTTTCTTCTCTATCCCAACTAAAGTATGTGGGGCTGGTAAGATTACAGAAAAAAGAGAAAGGAATATTCTGAATCTGTGTATGAAATTCTTGTGAGCAGTACATGTAAGAAACTAATCAGAGGCTGGGCATGGTGGCACACACCTGTAGTCCCAGCTACTTGGGAGGCTGAGGCATGAGAATCACTTGAATCCAGAAGGTGGAGGTTGCAGTGAGCCGATATAGCGCCATTGCACTCCAACCTGGGCGACACACTTTTGCACTCAGTCTCAAAATAAATAAATAAATAAATAGGCCAGGAGTGGTGGCTCATGCCTGTAATCCCAGCACTTTGGGAGGCCAAGGCAGGTGGATCACGAGGTCAGGAGATCAAGACCATCCTGGCTAACATGGTGAAACCCCATCTCTACTAAAAATACAAAAATTAGCCAGGTGTGGTGGTGCACACCTGTAGTCCCAGCTACTCGGGAGGCTGAGGAAGCAAAATCACTTGAATCCAGGAGGCAGAGGTTGCAGTGAGCCAAGATCGTGCCACTGCACTCCAGTCTGGGCAACAGAGCAAGACTCTGTCTCAAAAATAAATAAATAATTTAAAAAAATTTTTAAAAACTGATCAGAAATGACATCTACAAAACCTGAGAACTTAACAGTGATGTGAAACATCACCAGGCTTCAGATTGACCTCTAAGTAGCACACAAGTAGGACAAGCCAGAATAGCACCATAAAGACTTTGAACACTAAATTAACATTTGCATGATGGCCCATAAACATGGGTCAAGACATGTGTTCTGAACCTAAACAAGTTGACTGCCTACTAAAACAGAAACGTTAAATAGAAACCAGGCCTCAATGCACCATATTCAAAATGTCCAACATATAAACAAAAAATCACCTGTCATTATCAAGAACCACAAAAATCTAAATAAGAAAATTCAAACAGTGTCAACACCAAGATGACACAGGTATTGCAATTATCTCACAAGTATTTTGCAGCAGCTATCATTAAAAATGTTCCAACAAGCAATTATGAATAACTTCGAAATTATTTTTAATGGAACATCTTAGCAACAAATATAAAATATAAGAAAGAAGCATTTAAGTCTTTAATCCATCTTGAATTAATCTTTGTATAAGGTGTAAGGAAGGGATCCATTTTCAGCTTTCTACATATGGCTAGCCAGTTTTCCCAGCACCATTTACTAAATAGGGAATCCTTTCCCCATTTCTTGTTTTTGTCAGGTTTGTCAAAGATCAGATAGTTGTAGATACGTGGCATTATTTCTGAGGGTCTATATCTCTGTTTTGGTACCAGTACCATGCTGTTTTGGTTACTGTAGCCTTGTAGTATAGTTTGAAGTCAGGTAGCGTGATGCCTCCAGCTTTGTTCTTTTGGCTTAGGACTGACTTGGCAATGTGGGCTCTTTTTTGGTTCCATATGAACTTTAAAGTAGTTTTTTCCAATTCTGTGAAGAAAGTCATTGGTAGCTTGATGGGGATGGCATTGAATCTATAAATTACCTTGGGCAGTATGGCCATTTTCACGATATTGATTCTTCCTACCCATGAGCATGGAATGTTCTTCCATTTGTTTGTATCCTCTTAAATGTTAGACCTAAAACCATAAAAACCCTAGAAGAAAACCTAGGCAACACCATTCAGGGCATAGGCATGGGCAAGGACTTCATGTCTAAAACACCAAAAGCAATGGCAACAAATGCCAAAATTGACAAATGGGATCTAATTAAACTAAAGAGCTTCTGCACAGCAAAAGAAACTACCATCAGAGTGAACAGGCAACCTACAGAATGGGAGAAAATTTTTGCATCTACTCATCTGACAAAGGGCTAATATCCAGAATCTACAATGAACTCAAACAAATTTACGAGAAAAAAACAAACAACCCCATCAACAAGTGGGCGAAGGATATGAACAGACACTTCTCAAAAGAAGACATTTACACAGCCAAAAGACACATGAAAAAATGCTCATCATCACTGGCCATCGGAGAAATGCAAATCAAAACCACAATGAGATTCCATCTCACACTAGTTAGAATGGCAATCATTAAAAAGTCAGGAAACAACAGGTGCTGGAGAGGATGTGGAGAAATAGGAACACTTTTACACTGTTGGTGGGACTGTAAACTAGCTCAACCATTGTGGAAGTCAGTGTGGCGATTCCTCAGGGATCTAGAACTAGAAATACCATTTGACCCAGCCATCCCATTACTGGGTATATACCCAAAGGATTATAAAACGTGCTGCTATAAAGACACATGCACACGTATGTTTATTGTGGCACTATTCACAATAGCAAAGACTTGGAACCAACCCAAATGTCCAACAATGATAGACTGGATTAAGAAAATGTGGCACATATACACCATGGAATACTATGC
Source organism: Homo sapiens (assembly GCF_000001405.40). Taxonomy (NCBI): domain Eukaryota; kingdom Metazoa; phylum Chordata; class Mammalia; order Primates; family Hominidae; genus Homo; species Homo sapiens. The sequence goes on along the minus strand of NT_167245.2, from coordinate 3,505,887 downwards.
AGCCATAAAAAATGATGAGTTCATGTCCTTTGTAGGGACATGGATGAAGCTGGAAACCATCATTCTCAGCAAACTATCGCAAGGACAAAAAACCAAACACCACATGTTCTCACTCATAGGTGGGAATTGAACAATGAGAACACATGGACACAGGAAAGGGAACATCACACACCAGGGCCTGTTGTGGGGTTGGCGGAGGGGGGAGGGATAGCATTAGGAGATATACCTAATGTTAAATGACGAGTTAATGGGTGCAGCACACCAACATGGCACATGTATAGACATGTAACTAACCTGCACATTGTGCATATATATCCTAGAACTTAAAGTATAATTAAAAAAAAAAAGAATGCTGACATAGCTCTCAAACAAGGTAGACTTAAAGACAAGAAGCATTGATAGAGCTATAGATGAACACTACCCATGGCACATGTTTACCTATGTAACAAACCTGCACATCCTGTATATGTACCCCGGAACTTAAAATAAAAAGATGAACATTTCTAAAAAAAAAAAAGAAAGAAAGAAGCAAATGGAAATTTTATAGCTGGAAAATAAAATAACCAAAATGAAAACTCACTGGATGGATTCAATAACAGAATGAATATGACAAAAGAAACAATCAGTGAACTCAAAGATAGAGCAATTGAAATTTTCCAGCCTGAACTGAGAGGAAAATACACTGAAAGAAAAAATAAAAAATGAACAGGCAAGATTCAAGATGGCCGAATAGGAACAGCACCAGTCTGCAGCTCCCAGCAAGATCGAGGCAGAAGGTGGGTGATTTCTGCATTTCCAACTGAGGCACACGGTTCATCTCACTGGGACTGGTTGGATAGTGGGTGCAGCCCACGGAGGGCAAGCCGAAGCAGGGTGGGGCATCACCTCACCTGGGAAGTGCAAGGGGTCGGGGAATTTTCCCCTCTACCCGAGGGAAGCCATGAGGGTCTGAGCCTGAGGAACTCCAGCACAGATACTGCACTTGTCCCACAGTCTTCGAAACCCACAAACCAGGAGATTCCCTCCAGTGACTACCCCACCAGGGCCCTGGGTTTCAAGCACAAAACTGGGTGGCCAATTGGGCAGACACTGAACTAGCTGTAGGAGCTTTTTTTCTTTTTCCATACCCCAGTGGCGCCTGGAACACCAGCGAGACACAACCGTTCACTCCCCTGGAAAGAGGGGCTGAAGCCAGGGAGCCAAGTGGTCTGGCTTGGCTGGTCCCACGCCCATGGAGCCCAGGAAACTAAGATCCACTGGCTTGAAATTCTTGCTGCCAGCACAGCAGCAATCTGAGATTCACCTGGGATGATTGAGCTTGGTGGTGGAAGAGACGTCCACCATTGCTGAGGCTTGAGTAGATGGTTTTATGGCCACAGTATAAACAAAGCTGCTGGGAAGTTCAAACTGGGCAGAGCCCACTGCAGCTCAGCAAGGCTGCTGTGGCCAGACTGCCAGATTGCCCCTCTCTGGACAGGGCATCTCTGTAAAAAAGGCAGCAACCCCAGTCAGGGGCTTATAGGAGACTTAAACGTCCCTGCCTGATGGCTCTGAAGAGAGCAGTAGACCTCCCAGCACAGTATTCAAGCTCTGCTAAGGGTCAGTCTGCCTCCTCAAGTGGGTCCCTGATCCCCGTGTATACTGACTGGGAGATACCTTCTAGCTTGGACCGACAGACACCTGATACAGGAGAGCTCTGGCTGGCATCTGACAGGTGCCCCACTGGGTCGAAGCTTCTAGAAGAAAGAACAGGCAGCAATCTTTGCTGCTTTGCAGCCTCTGCTGGTGATACCCAGGCAAACAGGGTCAGGAGTGGACCTCCAGCAAACTCCAGCAGACTGGCACCAAAGGGGCCTGTTAGAAGGAAAAGAAACAGAAAGGATTAGCATGTCCACTCATAGACCCCATCCGAAGGTCACCAACATCAAAGACCAAAGGTAGATAAATCCACAAAGATGGGAAAAAAGTAGCATGAAAAGGTTGAAAATTCCAAAAACCAGAATGCCTCTCCTCCTCCAAATGATCACAGCTCTTTGCCAGCAAGGGAACAAAACTGGACAGAGAATGAGTTTGATGAACTGACAGAAGTAGGCTTCAGAAGGTGGGTAATAACAAAAAACTACAAGCTCAAGAAGCATGTTCTAACCCAATGCAAAGAAGCTAAAAACCTTAAAAAAAGGTTAATCAAATTAACTAGAATAACCAATGTAGAGAAGAACATAAATGACCTAATGGAGCTGAAAAACAAAGCACAAAAACTTCATGAAGAATACACAAGTATCAATAGCCAAACTGATGAAGCAGTGATTGAAGATCAACTTAATGATCAACTTAATGAAATAAAGAGAGAAGACAAGATTAGATAAAAAAGAATAAAAAGGAACGAACAAAGCCTCCAAGAAATATGGGACTTGCCAGGGCGCGGTGGGTCACACCTGTAATCCCAGCACTTTGGGAGGCTGAGGTGGGTGGATCACGAGGTCAGGAGATCGAGACCATCCTGGCTAACATGGTGAAACCCTGTCTCTACTAAAAATACAAAAAATTAGCTGGGCGTGGGGGTGGGCGCCTGTAGTCCCAGCTATTTGGGAGGCTGAGGCAGGAGAATGGCGTGAACCCAGAAGGTGGAGCTTGCAGTGAGCCGAGATCACACCACTGCACTCCAACCTCGGTGACAGAGCGAGACTCCATCTCAAAAAAAAAAAGAAATATGGGACTATGTGAAAAGACCAAATCTACGTTTGATTGGTGTACCTCAAAGTGACGGGGAGAATGGAATCAAGTTGGAAAACACTCTTTAGGATATTATCCAGGAGAACTTCTCCAACTTAGCAACACAGGCCAACATTCAAATTCAGGAAATACAGAGAACACCACAAAGATAATCCTCAAGACGAGCAACCCCAAGACACATAATCATCGGATTCACCAAGGTTGAAATGAAAGAGAAAATGTTAAGGGCAGCCAGAGAGAAAGGTCGGGTTACCCACAAAGGGAAGCTCGTCAGACTATCAGCCGAACTCTCTGCAGAAACCCTATAAGACAGAAGAGAGTGGGGGCCAATATCCAACGTTCTGAAAGAAAAGAATTTTCAACCCAGAATTTCATATCCAGCCACACTAAGCTTCATAAGGGAAGGAGAAATAAAATCCTTTACAGACAAGCAAATGCTGAGGGATTTTGTCACCACCAGACCTGCCTTACGAGAGCTCCAGAGGGAAGCACTAAACATGGAAAGGAACAACTGGTACCAGCCACTGCAAAAACATACCAAATTGTAAAGAACATTGACACAATGAAGAAACTGCATTAACTAATGGGCAAAACAACCAGCTAGCATCATAATGACAGGATCAAATTCACACATAACAATATTAACCTTAATGTAAATGGGCTAAATGCCCCAATTAAAAGACACAGACTGGCAAATTGGATAAAGAGTCAAGACCCATCAGTATGCTGTATTCAGAAGACCCATCTCATGTGCAAAGACAAACATAGGCTCAAAATAAAGGGATGGGGGAATATTTACCAAGCAAATGGAAAGCAAAAAAAAAGCAGGAGTTGCAATCCTAATCTCTGATAAAACAGACTTTAAATCAATAAAAATCAAAAGAGACAAAGAAGGGCATTACATAATGGTAAAGGGAACAATGCAGCAAGAAGAGCTAACTATCCTAAATATATATGCACCCAATACAGGAGCACCCAGATTCATAAAGCAAGTTCTTAGAGACCCAGACTCCCAAACAATAATAGTGGGAGACTTTAACACCCCACTGTCAATATTAGACAGATCAATGAGACAGAAAATAAAGATATTCAGGACTTGAACTCAGCTCTGGACCAAGCAGACCTAACAGACATCTACAGAACTCCCCACCTCAAATCAACAGACTATACATTCTTCTCAGCACCTCATTGCACTTATTCTAAAATTGACCACATAATCAGAAGTAAAACACTCCTCAGCAAATGCGAAATAATGGAAACCATAACAAACAGTCTCTCAGACCACAGTGCAACCAAATTAGAATTCAGGATTAAGAAACTCACTCAAAACTGCACAAATAAATGGAAACTGAACAACCTGTTCCTGAATGACTACTGGGTAAATAATGAAATGAAGGCAGAACTAAAAATGTTCTTTGAAACCAATGAAAATGAAGACACAATGTACCAGAATCTCTGGGACACATTTAAAGCGGTGTTTAGAGGGAAATTTATAGCACTAAATGCCCACAAGAGAAATCAGGAAAGTTCTAAAATTGATGCCCTAACATCGAAATTAAAAGAACTAGAGAAGCAACAGCAAATAAATTCAAAAGCTAGCAGAAGACATGAAATAACTAAGATCAGAGCAGAACTGAAGGAGATAGAGACACAAAAAAACCTTCAAAAAAATCAATGAATCCAGGAGCTGATTTTTTGAAAAAATCAACAAAATAGACCACTAGCCAGACTAATAAAGAAGAAAAGAGAGAAGAATCAAATAGATGCAATAAAAAATGATATAGGGGATATCACCACTGATCCCATACAAATACAAACTACCATCAGAGAATACTATAAACACCTCTATGCAAATAAACTAGAAAATCTAGAAGAAATGGATAAATTCCTGGACACATACACCCTCCCAAGTCTAAGCCAGGAAGAAGTCGAATCCCTGAATAAAGCAATAACAATTTCTGAAATTGAGGCAGTAATTAATAGCCTACTACCCCAAAAAAAAACCCAGGAGCAGATGGATTCACAGGCGAATTCTACCAGAGGTACAAAGAGGAACTGGTACCATACCTTCTGAAACTATTCCAAACAATAGAAAAATAGGGACTCCTCCCTAACTCATTTTATGAGGCCAGCATCATCCTGATACCAAAACCTGGCAGAGACACAACAAAAAAGGAAAATTTCAGGCCAATATCCCTGATGAACATCAATGTGAAAATCCTCAATAAAATACTGGCAAACCGAATCCACTAGCACATAAAAAAGCTTATCTACCACGATCAAGTTGGCTTCATCCCTGGGATGCGAGGCTGGTTCAACATACGCAAATCAATAAATGTAATCCATCACATAAACAGAACCAATAACAAAAACCACATGATTATCTCAATAGATACAGAAAAGGCCTTTGATAAAATTCAACACCCTTTCATGCCAAAAACTCTCAATAAACTAGGTATCGACGGAACATATCTCAAAATAACAAGAGCTATTTATGACAAACCCACAGCCAATATCATACTGAATGGGCAAAAACTGGAAGCATTCCCTTTGAAAACCGGCACAAGACAAAGATGCCCTCTCTCACCACTCCTATTCAACATAGTATTGGAAGTTCTGGCCAGGGCAATCAGGCAAGAGAAAGCAATAAAGAGTATTCAAATAGGAAGAGAGGAAATCAAATTGTCTCTGTTTGCAGAAGACATGATTGTATATTTAGAAAACCCCATCGTCTCAGCCCAAAACCTCCTTAAGCTGATAAGCAACTTCAGCAAAGTCTCAGGATACAAAATCAATGTGCAAAAATCACAAGCATTCCTGTACACCAATAATAGACAGAGAGCCAAATCATGAGTGAACTCCCATTCACAATTGCTACTAAGAGAATAAAATACCTAGGAATACAACTTACAAGGGATGTGAAGGACCTCTTCAAGTAGAACTACAAACCACTGCTCAAGGAAATAAGAGAGGACACAAACAAATGGACAAACATTCCATGCTCATGGATAGGAAGAATCAATATCATGAAAATGGCCACACAGCCCAAAGTAATTTATAAATTCAATGCTATTCCCATGAAGCTACCACTGACTTTCTTCACAGAATTGGAAAAAACTACTTTAAACTTCATATGGAACCAAAAAAGAGCCTGCATAGCCAAGACAATCCTGGGCAAGAAGAACAAAGCTAGAGGTATCATGCTACCTGATTTCAAACTATACTACAAGACTACAGTACCCAAAACAGCACAGTACTGGTACCAAAACAGATATATAGACCAATGGAACAGAACGGAGGCGTCAGAAATAACACCACACAGCTACAACCATCTGATCTTTGACAAACCTGACACACACAAGCAATGGGGAAAAGATTCCCGATTTAGTAAATGGTGTTGGGAAAACTGGCTAGCCATATGCAGAAAACTGAAACTGGGCCCCTTCCTTACACCTTTTACAAAAATCAACTCAAAATGGATCAAAAACTTCAACATAAGACTTAGGACCATAAAACTCCTAGAAGAAAATCTGGGCAATACCATTCAGGACAGAGGCATGGGCAAAGACTTCATGTCCAAAACACTAAAAGCAATGGCAACAAAAGCCAAAATTGACAAACGGGATCTAATTAAACTAAAGAGCTTCTGCACAGCAAAAGAAAGTATCATCAGAGTGAACAGGCAACCTACAGAATGGGAGAAAATTTTTGCAGTCTATCCATGTGACAAAGGGCTAATATCCAGAATCTACAAAGAACTTAAATTTACAAGAAAAAACCCATCAAAAAGTGGGCAAAGGATATGAACAGACACTTCTCAAAAGAAGACATTTATGCAGCCAACAGACATATGAAAAAAATGCTCATCATCACTGGTCACCAGAGAAATGCAAATCAAAACCACAATGAGATTCCATCTCACACCAGTTAGAATGGCGATCATTAAAAAGTCAGGAAACAACAGGTGCTGGAGAGGTTGTGGAAAAATAGGAATGCTTTTACACTGTTGGTGGGAGTGTAAATTAGTTCAACCATTGTGGAAGACAGTGTGGCGATTCCTCAAGGATCTAGAACTGGAAATACCATTTGACCCAGCAATCCCAATACTGGGCATATACCCAAATGATTATAAATCATTCTATAGTAAAGACACATGCACACATATGTTTATTGTGGCACTATTCACAGTAGCAAAGACTTGGAACCAACCCAAATGTCCATCAATGATAGACTGGATTAAGAAAATGTGGCACATATATATCATGGAATACTATGCAGCCATAAAAAAGGATGAGTTTGTGTCCTTTGCAGGGACATGGATAAAGCTGGAAACCATCATTTTCAGCAAACTATCACAAGATCAGAAAACCAAACACCGCATGTTCTTGCTTATAAGTGGGAGTTGAACAATGAGAACATACGGACACAGGGAGGGGACCATCACACACCGGGGCCTGTCGGAGAGTGGGGAGTTAGGGGAGGGATAACATTAGGAGAAATACCTAATATAGGTGACAGGTTGATGGGTGCAACAAACCACCAGGGCACATGTATACCTATGTAAGAAAAATGCACATTCTGCACATGTAACCCAGAACTTAAAGTATAATAAAAAAAAAAAGAAAGAAAGAAAAGAAAAAACGAACAGAGCAACAAATATCTGTGGGACAATAACAAAGTGTCTAACATTCCTGTGACTGGAATTACAGAAGGAGATGGCATAGGGTGCTAAAAAAAAAAAAAAAAATTGAGACAGGCTCTCACTCTGTTACACAGGCTGGAGTGCGGTGGCATGATCACAGCTCACTGCAGCCTCAAACTCCCAGGCTTAGGTGATCCTCCTGCCTTAGCCTCCCGAGTAGCTGGGACCACTGACACATGCCACCATGACCAGCTAATTTTTTTTATTTTTTTTGTAGAGACAGTGTTTTGTCATGTTGCCCAGGCTGGTCTGAAAAAACTTTTTAACAAAATAATGATTGAAGACTTCTCAAACTTAATGAAAGACATAAATGTGTAATTTAAAAAGCTAAAGCAACTTCTAATATGATAAATGCAAAGAAATCCATGCTTAGATACATCATAATCAAATTTCTGAAAACTTAAAAAAATCTTGAAAACATTCTGAAAGAAGAAGCATTATTTATAGGAGAACAACAATTAGAATTACAGTGGATTTCTCACCAAAAAACACAAAACAGGAAGAAAGTAGCACAACATTTTTCAACTGCTAAAAAATAAGACCTATCAGCCCAGAAGCTTATATCCAGAGATAATACTCCGAGGAAACTTCAAACACATTTTTAGCAATGTTACAGAATAGTAATCAATTGTATTCCTCTATGCTAGCAATAAAAAGTAGGAAGCCAAAATTGAAGCACAGTACTATTTACAACCACTCCAAAGAAAATTAAATATTTAAGTATAAATCTAACAAAATATGTACAGAATCAGCAGGCTGAAAACTACAAAATGCTGATGAAAAAATAAAAATAGATCTAAACAAACGGAGAGACATGCAGTGTCATTTAACTGGAAGACAACAAAGATGTCAATTCTCTTCATATCGGTCTATAGGTTTAACACGTTTCCTATCAAAAGCTTCCTTTTGTAGATATAGACAAACTGGTCCTAAAATCTATATGTAAAGTCAAAAGAACAAAAATTGCTAAAACAATATTAAAAAAGAATAGTAAAGTAGGAAGAATCACACTATCCAATGTTAAGATTTACTACCGTAGGTTGCCAGGCCAAGATGGCTGATTAGAAACAGCTATGGTCCACAGCACTCACAGAGAGGAACAAAAGAGGCAAGTGAATACAGCATCTTCAACTGAAATATCCAGGTACTTGCATTGGGACTCATCAGGAAAACAACTTGACCCACAGAGAACAAAGAAAAGCTGGATGGGGCGACAGCCCCCCTGGGAGCGACACAGAGCCAAAGGAACCCCCACTCCCAGCCAAGGGAAGAAGTGAGTGATGGTGCGACCTCAGGAAACCATGCTTCTCCCATGGATCTTTGCGACTGGTGGATCAGGAGATTCCCTCATGAGCCCATGCCACCAAGGCCTTGGGTCCGACACACACACAACTGTGTGGAGTCTTGGCAGAGCAGCTGCTCAGACACACACAGAGACCCACGAGCTTTACATACTCTGGCCCAGGGCGGAGCGCAGGAAGGGCCCCAAAACAGATCATATCACAACTGTTGTTCTGGGAGAAAGTAAAAGTCAAAAAAGCATTGCATTTAATTCAGGTTTCAGCCAAACTGCGAGATACCACGTTATTTAAGAGGCAGGCGGAGGAAGGAAACCTACCGCTTTGGAAGAGGCGGAGGAAATCGCTTTCTTCCCTGTGACTCAGCCCTGGAGGAATTTCCCTTTTGAAATCTTGCGGTGTCGAGTAGGACCGCCAGGCCGGCAAGCAGGAGGCGGCCTCCTCGTAACCGCCAGGCGGCGACACCTAGGGCGGCGCGGCCAGGAGGCGGGACCCCTTCTCCCCTCGCTGTTCCCCCTCGCGCCCCTTCTCCCCTCGCGGTTCCCCCTCGCGCCCCTTCTCCTCTCACATTTCCCCCTCACAAGCCTTCTCCCCTCCTGGTTCCCCCTCAAGCGCCTTCTCTCCTCAAATCTCCCTCAGCTTCCTTCTCTCCCTCCCATTTCTCTCCCCATTCTTTTACCTCTCCTAGTCCCGCCTTCCCCAGCACGATGGCACCTCTCTCGCCCTAAATCTTCTCCCCACTCCTCTCAACCCACTGACCGCCCTCGCCTCCCCACCCCCATCCCCTCTTCCCGCACGCACTGTCTACCTTTCTGCCCCTCCGCACTCCCGGACTTCTCAAGCACATACACCCAGCCTCATCTCACCCAACCCGGCCTATTCACTCCCTGAACCACCCCACCCCATCATCCTCTTCCTCCCCCATCTTCCTCCTCCCCAGTAGCTCTTCCCCCTCTTCCTCCTCACTTCCCCACCCCGTCACACCCCCCTCCCTCTCCCTGCCCTCGGTCTCTTCACTCCATCTCCTCCCTTTCACTGTGCTGTTTCGCGGTAGGAAGAGAAGAGTGGTGATACCTGAGGAATAAAAGGTATAACTCCCTCCCCAAACACTGCTAAAATGACTCTGAAAATAAATAATCAGGCAGACAAGGGGAACAGGGAACAGCAACAGACTGTAATGCTTTTCTGGAAAACTGGTGAAAAGCGGAGCTGATGAAAGTGGAACCTATTGTGCATCCAAAGAAATGCTACACAGAAGGAAAACCACTGTTTAGACAGAGCCCTAAATCTCTAGAAATGGAAAGCTAAAAACTAAGAAAGTCTAGGGTAAGAGGGTAAACCTGAAAAAGATGGACCTATTGAAAATCTGTATAAGAAGGAGTTAGGGCTGAGATCTTTCCCTTATTCTTGGTCTGCACATCCATGAACCTAACTTTCCCCCAATACCATTTTTGACTTAAAACAAGAATCAGTAAACTTTTTCTATAAAGGGCCAAATGTTTACTTTGGCTTTGTAGGTCCCTATGGGCTCCATCACAACTACTCACCTCTGCCTTTATAGCACAAAAGCAGTCATAGACAATACATAAATGAATGAAGAACATGGCTATGTTCCAATAAAGCTTTACTTATGGAGACTTAAATTTGAATTTCATATAATTTTCACATGTCACAAAATATTATGTGACATTTTACATGAAATGTAAAAATCATTCTTAGCTCATGGGCTATACAAAAAAAAAAAAACAAGTTGCAGACTGTATTTGGCCCATTGGGTGGTAGTTTGCTCATCCCTGGCTTAAAGAAAAAAACAATTAATAAACCAGGAATAAGGCCAGGTGCAGTGGCTCACACCTGCAATCCCAGCACTTTGGGAGGCTGAGGTGGGCTGATCACCGGAGGTCAGGAGTTCAAGATCAGCCTGGCCAACATGGTGAAACCCCCATCTCTACTAAAAATACAAAATTAGCTGGGTATGGTGATGCCTGCCCGTAATCCCAGCTACTTGGGAGGCTGAGGCAGGAGAATCTCTTGAACCCAGCAGGCAGACGTTGCAGTGAGCCGAGATCATGCCATTGCACTCCAGCCTAGGCAACAAGAGCAAAACTCCATCTCAAATAAATAAATAAAATAAATAAATAAACAAACCAGGAATAGAAGAGAACTTCTTTAACCTGATAAAGGGTATCTATTTTTCTTATTCTGAAACACATCTTCCAAAAAGAGAAAGTTGGGATGCATTCTCATTAAAATTATGAAGACAAGGAGACTACTATCATCACTTTTATTCAACATTGTATTTTGGTCATTACCAACATAATGAGATAAGAAAAAGAAACCAAAAGATTGGAAAGGAAGACATAAAACTGTCAACATTTACAGAGGACATGATTACACCATAGAATCTAAAGACAAATTAATCTAAAGACAAATTACTATAAATAATAGGAAAGTTTAATGAAGTAACTGATATAAACTCAATCCTCTATTTTCACATCTTTGCTTTTCCTATTGCCTATGTTTTTATGTTTTTGTTATACTTGCTGGGATATTTCTTCTCCTTTACCTTCCCAAACCTTTATTAAATACTTATTCTGAGCTCTCATATTTTAAGTTTTCAGGAGTTGTTTACTTGTTAATCCTTCCCTTGTTTAAGTATCTTGTTCTTTCATAGATGTGATACCTGCTTTTATTTCTCATTGATTATAGTTGTGTTTTAAAGTCTCTTCTGAATTGTCTCTGTTCTTCCAAGTTCTTCCTTGTTTTGAACTCTGCCTTTGTTACTGGATACTTTCTTTGCATTTTAATGAGACTAAGAGGTCCCTTCTGAAACCTTACACATCAGCATCTCACTCTCCAACCAAAACCCAATATCTTTGCAGCTCTAGTGCTCTAGAGTTCCCACTGCCTTTCTTCTTTGACCTCACTAGTACCTTCAGGCACTTCCCCCTTTTGTTTCCAGTCAGTCAGCTTCCTTCCCTTACCGACTACATTACCTGAAACTTTCTAGCCTAAACCATGATCAGTCAATTCAGTTGCACCCACAATTCAAACATCCGCTTACTAGATCAAATTAACTCTGCCCTCTCAGTTGTCAGAAGATTAAAAAGTCTGCATGTTGGACTCCCAATTCTTCAGCTCCATGTTCCTCTGAGCCTCCAACATGCTCACTTAAGCATGTCCTTCTATTGACCAAGGCAGCTTTTGCAGACCTTCAGGCATATTCTTAAACCACTTCCTAGTCCTCATTCTCAGCAGAGGATCATACCTTACATTCTTATCTCATATCTCAGTGGAAGTGGCATTCCTGCTTCCATACAGATTTTCCATACAAATTTTCTCCCTTCACCTGTGCTCTAGCCAAGTGATTCTCAAACTTAAGCATGCATCAAAATCACCTGGTACATTCCTAAAGCCCCACTCTCACAGATACTAATTCACTGTATCTGGGATAAAGTCTAACAATTTTGTATTATAACTCAGGTACTAAACCCAGTAAACAAAGTTCTTATTTTTCTTGATGCTGTTGGCCTTAATTCTTTCCCTAGTTCTAGAAGACACTACATGTCTTATGGCCTGCCGCAATTAGGGCCATCCCCCCCACCTCTTGAAAAGACATTATTATTTTGAATATTTCTCACACACACACACACACACAGAGAAAATTAAATTAATCAACTCACAACTCTATTAATTGCCCCAGAGATCTATCCTCACATCCTTCTCTCATATCTCAGTGGAAGTAGCATTCCTGCTTCCATACAAAGTTTTTCCCTTCACCTGTGCTCTAGCCAAGTGATTTTCAAACTTGAGCATGTATCCAAATCACCTGGTGATTGCTAAAGCCCTACACCCACAGATTCTAATTCACTGTATCTGTGATGAAGTCTAACAATTTTGTATTGCTAACAAGCTTCCAGGTGATGCCAGTGCCACCCATTTGCGGATCATCCTTTGAGTATCCTGCTCTAGATTCCATCATCTCCTGTCTCCCAGAAGTCCATACTTCATCTTCAACCTCTTTCCTATTTCCCATGCCCATACCTTACCCCTCAAACACATATGAATGCAGTCAAGACTCTCCAATCTTCAAAAAAGAAAAAAAAAACTTTCAAAATATCCTATTATTCTCACCTTTTTTTTTTTTTTTTTTTTTTGGAGACAGAGTCTTGCTCTGTCACCCAGGCTGGAGTGCAATGGTGCGATCTAAGCTCACCGCAACCTCCGCCTCTCAGAATCAAGCAATTCTCCTGCCTCAGCCTACTGAGTAGCTAGAATTATAGGCACGTGCCACCATGCCCAGCTAATTTTTTGTATTTTTAGTAGAGACGGGGATTCACCATGTTGGTCAGGCTGGTCTCAAACTCCTGCCCTCGTTGATCCGCCCACCTCAGCCTCCCAAAATGCTGGGATTACAGACGTGAGCCACCACACCCGGCCTGCACCTTTTCTTTATAACCAAGCTTTTCAGAGGAATCATGTCCATACTCTTTACTTCCTCACCATCGATTGCACTTTTCAATTTGGTTTCTATTCCAACTAAAGCATCAAAACGACTCAGATACTAAACCCAGTAAACAAGGTGCTTATTTTTCTTGATGCTGGTTGGCCTTAATTCTTCCCCTAGTTCTAGAAGACACTACATGTCTTATGGCCTGCCAAAATTAGGGCTATCCCCCCACTTCTTGAAAAGACTTATTATTTTAATCTTTCTAACCACAGCACAGATGATATAGGACTAACAAGATACATTTTTTTCCCCTTTATTTTCCATTAAATGCAATGCAAAGTAAATCTAAATATTAACTACACTGCTCTTCCCTTTTCCTGGAGGTAGGAAGCCTTTTATGATTCAAACTATTCTGTGCCTTGAAGCATCCTGCCTCCCATGTAGTGGTCCTCATTGTCCCTGGGAAGCTCCTCTTCCTTAAGTGATGATGTCCCCAAGGTTCTGACCTCTTTTCACTCTCACTCTCTACCTGGGCCATATCTTTCACCCTATGGCTTAGGCCCAATAATATAACTGCATCCTTGATGTAGCCTTGCAAAACCTTTGACTAATTTAGACCAAATGCATACATTTTGAAGATGTTATTTGATTTTATTAATAATCTTTAAAACCATCTTTATTTACCAAAGATCACTGAAGTCACATGAACTAAAAGGCCTTAAAATTTCTATTTCTCGGCCTGGCACAGTGGCTTACACCTATAATCCCAGCACTTTGGAAGGCCGAGGTGGGCAGATCACGAGGTCAAGAGATCAAGACCATCCTGGCCAACAAGGTGAAACCCTGGCCCTACTAAAAATACAAAAATTAGCTGGGCATGGTGGCGTGTACCTGTAGTCTCAGCTACTCAGGAGGCTGAGACAGGAGAATTGTTTGAACCCGGGAAGTGGAGGTTGCAGTGAGCCGAGATTGCGCCACTGCACTCCAGCTTGACAACAGAGCGAGACTCTGTATTAAAAAATATATATGTATATATATATATTTCTCTGATAAAATATTTAAGTGCTTATTTTTCTAAAAGCCATTAATTACAGCTTTTTCATATATTTTGGTAGTGAAAATATCACAAACACATGACATGTATAAACACACAGACATACAAACACACAGAAGCAGATTTTATAGATTTGTAAGATTCTTCATGTGCCAGTTTTTAAAGTTTCTCTTCCTCATTTTGGACCTTCTCCTGATTACCTGTTCCCTGCCCTAAATAATTGTCAGCTATGCCACTCCAAATCTGCATTTCTAAAGGCACAATTCTTAAGTGAAATGAAATAGAAAATTCATATTTTATTTAAACCAAGGAAAAATGGTATGAGTAAAAGTTCAGTTAAGATGGCCAGGAAGCTGTGTGTGGTGGCTCATGCCTGTAATCCCAGCACTTAGAGAGGTCAAGGCAGGAGGATTACTTGAGCCCAAGAGCTCAAGACCAGCCTGGGCAACATGGCAAGACCCCATCTCTACAAAAACATACAAAAATTAGCTGGGCGTAGTGGTCTCAGCTGCTGGGGAGGCTGAGCTGGGAGGATCACTTGAGCCCAGGAGGTCAAGGCTGCAGTAAGCTATGTTCTCACCACTGTATTCCAGCCTGGGTGATAGAGCAAGACCCTGTCTCAAAAAAAGAAAAAGAAAAAAGATGGTTAGGAAAACAGACACACTTGCCCATTGAAATTTTTTTAAAGATGTTAGTTTCTTAATTGAATTACTGGCTTTAGGGTGGAGCCCTTTAAGGAACAGGGCCAGGAAAGCATGCAGTTTCTATGGCCTAATAAGCAGGCACAGCTGGAAGGCAAAACAGATTTCCAAAGTTAAGGATCCAACTTTTACACTGAATCCTGGGTCCTCAAAAGAGGAGAACACCGCAGGACAAGATAGTGCAATGCTTTTACGGTGCACTTCACTGCAAGGACATTCCCCTGAGGCTGGTGGGCAACCCTATAACAATCAGCCTATTCTGTAATCACTTAATGCTCCATGGGAGTCTTAGCCCTCATTCCATACCTTCTAGGTGCCCCAAAGCATGCTTTTCTTATCTAAATGTGCAAAAAAAAGCAGTACCACCCTGTAGTGATAACTATTCACTGTAAACAACTGTCAATAGCCATCTCTAAAAGTATATTTGTTTCCTAGCTTTTACATACAAAGATTAAAATTTAAGCAGACAGAATTCAGTTGCTTAAGAAGTTTTTACAGAGAGAGAGCAGAGGCTTTAAAACAATATCTGTACACATATATTCTAAATCAGTTTTAATTAAGTTGACTTTTAACTATAGAGCTCTTGAAGAAAATTCTTTCAGATCTCTTATTACCAGTTTTTAGCTGGAACAAACAGCTGATATTTCTGGCTTTTGAACTCTCTACCAAGGATAACCTCCCACCTGAAACCAATGAGCCTTAACTAGGGTTATGACTTAACCACAGATGCACAAGGTATCTCCAAAGAGATGCCAAGCAGTTTTTTACAAGATCTAGAATCACCCCAAAGGTATCTCAGAGCAAGGAATATTCAAGACAGGAAATCAGAAGCTGTCCATCAATGAATGGCAAAAAGTCCCACAAATACAAAACCAGAAAGGACGCATTCCCTAAGCTGGGAAGTGATCCCAGGCCACCATAGTGAAAGGGCAGAGATTTAGCTACTGTGCTACAGCATAGGGTGGTTGCCAGTGCTCTTCCCAGAAAGAATCTAGAGCAGTCATTTTCAAGCTTGCGAATGATTTTAACTGCTCAAGAGAATTTTTAAGGCTACCCACGACACTACTGTTTAACCTTCCTTCAATTGTTTTAGATAAGAGATCTCTAAAATCCTTTTTCTTTCAATGGTGTACTTAGTTCCAATAGAGACTCAAACACCTTTTTTAAATTGCAGATGGTAATTTTCCAGGTTTTTGCCATATAAGCAGCAAGAAGTATTCCTAGAGGAGGCATCCCCAAGTATTCCCTCTTGGAAATGGGTTTAAGATAGCAAAATACAACAAAAGTCCTGTAGAGATAGGACTGTTTTTTTGTCCTAATAAATCCAACCAGCAGAGATGGGACGTTTTAAGACAAAACTCACCTAAGGGCTCAACACATTCAGGACGAAGAGTATGCTAATGTGTCTCAGACTCCCAGTCCTCTCAGACCAGCCACCTGACTTGAACCCAAGAATTTCCACCCTCCAGATGGCAGAGATCAAGAGAGAGAGTACCCCTACATGGTTACAAAGTCAAGCTCTCAACCACATAAAACAAGACAAGGGAAATCTCATCCAGTTTTTGTTCCAAGGACCTGCAGCAAAGTTTGTAACCGACCAGTCTGCAGGGCTGGCTTGAACAGCAGGCTTACAGGGATCCTAGGCCTGTGTTCTATCCTATGGTATCCTTCTCCATGACAGAACGACACAAAAAGGCAAAGACAAAGGAAGATGGCAAAAAAGGTGATTTCTGAGAAGGGGCCAAACAATACAAATATTTATAGTTCAAAGTAGCAAAAGTACACAAGATTCACTACAACCTAAGACTAGTCACACAAATCTTCTTCCCTATTAATCAAAACTTTGCAGAGGAGACAAACAGTGATTTTTATTGTTCACTCAACTCATTTGCACAGAGAGAGAAAGGCCAGAGGCTAGCTGGTAAGAAATTAGCTTTTTACCAGCTTGTCAGGTTTATGGCTTCCCTTTCTCAGCTGCTTCCAGAAGAGCAGAGTGGCTTTTGATGACCCTGCTTGCTGCACCGTAGCTGTGGGGGCCAAGCCACGTTACAAAAGAAAAACATTCCTTTTCTTTTCATGGAACCACAGGCAAAAGGCCCCAGTTTTGCAAGAGGCAGCCCAACAGGTTGTGTGGGGGAACTAAATTAACATTTCCCATTCCAACAGGAGTTATACACACATGTCAAAACACAGACACTAGTCACTCTGCTCAGTGCCCAAGTATCAACCTGGCAAGGCTCAAACTTGCCCCCATTGGCCCCTATCTGAGTCTCCCCCCCAATATAAGTTTCATGGTGGTAGGGCATATTAAGAAAGCCTGGCAGGCCAGGCGCGGTGGCTCCCGCCTGTAATCCTAGCACTTTGGGAGGCCAAGGCAGGCAGATCACCTGAGGTCAGGAGTTCGAGACCAGCCTGGCCAACATGGTGAAACCCTGTCTCTACTAAAAATACAAAATTAGCCAGGTGTGGTGGTGTGCACCTGTAATCCCAGCTACTCAGGAGGCTGAGGTAGGAAAATCGTTTGAACCTGGGAGGCAGAGGTTTCAGTGAGCCGAGATCACGCCACTGCACTCCAGCCTGAGTGACAGAGTGAGACTCCATCTCAAAAAAAAGTACCAGAACTAGAATGAAGCTGTTTTCTCTGCTATGTCTTGCAGTATTCCTTCCAGTGCAATTTACTGTCAAAGTCTAACGTTGTGCCCAATGGCAAAGAAGAAATGTTTATAGGGTCCAGCTCCAGAACCACAAGGCAGGACAAAGATGGAGTGGATTTGGAACAAAGATGCAATAAAATAATATTGAGCACCAGTCACACCTTTGGCTGCACAGTTTTCATATTACACATATTTGAACTTTTTTTTTTTTTTGAGACAGAGTCTTGCCCTGTCACTCAGGCCAGAGTGCAGTGGCACAATCTCAGCTCACTGCAACCTCTGCCTCCTGGGTTCAAGCGATTCTCCTGCCTCAGCCTCCCAAGTAGCTGGGATTACAGGCACCCACCATCACACCCAGCTAATTTTTGTATTTTTAGTAGAAATGGGGTTTTGCTATGTTGGCCAGGCTGGTCTGGAACTCCCGACCTCAGGTGATCTGCCTGCCTTGGCCTCCCAAGGTGCTGGGATTACAGGCATGAGCCACCGTGCCCGGCCTGAACTTTTATACAACAATGAAATAATTCTCTATTTTCACCAATCAAGACAAAGCCACCTTATAAGTGAAGAAGTTCTCACTCTGTCCCCAAAATAAAGAGAGCCCTAGTCATTATATAGCTCAATACACAGCTGTATTATTTACTCTTCAAATTCAGTCACAGTATCCTTGACCATATATACTCTTACCAAAAGGACTATATTACGACATAACTTCCAACAATTTGTATATAAAATCATAAGTGTCAGGAGAAGAAACAGTTGCCGAGAGCAGCATGTGTACTGCCCAGGTAGGTGACCCAGTCAGTGGTGGGGACGAATTTACTGACCCTCTCAATCCCGTGTAGGTCAGGCCCATCCATGGTTAAGGCTGAAACACACAAGTCCTAGTGGGAGGAATCTGAAAACCAAGTTAGGTGAAAAGGCCTAGGGGTCTCCAACCTTGGCCTCCGTCCCTGATAGAATCAGAGGAGAGAGGCCTGGGGTGCTGGAGGCAGAAGAGGCCCTGCCCTGTCCAACCCTGAGAGGCAGATTCTCAGTCCCCAGGATGTCGGACACTTTTTTCTCTCTTGTCACTGAGTCTCCTCTCCACAGGCAGAACTGTGGGCTGAACCCTGAGGCCAGCGCCTCTGCTCTCTAATGACCACCACCAAATACTCAGGCCCACTGTTCACTAGGTGGCATCTTACTCTGAGCATTACATATTTATTTCCGTGAATGTTTTAGCTTAATACCATGAGATGGTCCTTACTGTCCTCACTTTACAGCTGAGAGACAGAGCCTCGATGATCTGAGGAAACCTGCCCAGGGTCACAGGTCGTGTGGCCAAACCCTAACAGGGGCCAGGTCTACATCAAAGCTCAGTTGAGCTCTAAACAGGGGGCCACCAGATTAGGGGCACCAGCCCTAGGGGTCCTCCAGGGATCTGGAGAGACAGGAAAGAAGGCAGAGAACATATTAGAACTATTATAAAATCTTCAATCTTATGCCCTTTTAATGTGATTTGCGTTTGTTCTTTCAACCTGCATTATGTTTGCACATGTTTGTTAGCTGCATGTTCAAAATATATTACTGAATGGAGTGTGTGATCAAAAGAGTTTGGAGATCCTTGCTCCAAATCTCTGCTCCAGAAATCTTCTCTAAAGCAGCGGGTCTCAGAAAAGGAAGCAGAACCAAGAAGCAGCAGCGGCCTGGGAGGCGCCCGGACAGAAGGTGCTCCGTGGGCGGGGGGGAGTAACTCGTGGGCCCGGGAAAAGGCCCCCAACCTGGTCTCACCAGATTTTCCTCAGCCTCTGCTGCCCCCTTGTGGCCACCACGTGGCAGACAGAAAGAGCAGTTCCCAGCAGGAAGACACCGAGGGAGGGGTACGGAGGATGCAGAAAACAATCTTAGAACCGTGGAAGGGAGCGAAGGAAACCAGACACTAAAGACCTCAAGCTGTAGCAATCCAAACATGCGAAGTTGAAGAATAGCAAAACGAGGCGGGCGCGGTGGCTCATGCCTGTAATCCTAGCACTTTGGGAGGCTGAAGCGGGCGGATCACTTGAGGTCAAGAGTTTGAGACCAGCCTGGCCAACGTGGTGAAACCCCGTCCCTACTAAAAATACAAAAATTAGCCGGAAATCGCTTGAACCCGGAAGGCGGAGGTTGCAGTGAGCCAAGATCATGCCACTACACTCCAGCCTGGGCAACAGAGTAAGACTCTGTCTTAAAAAAAAAAAAAAGAAAAAAGAAAAGAAATGTCTTTTCTCACAGTTCTAGAGGCCAGAAAACCTGAGATCAAGGCACTACTGCCTGGTGAGGGCTGTTCTCTGCTTCCAATGTGGCATCTGTTGCTTCATCCTCTGGAGGGGAGGAACACTGTGTCCTCACGTGGCAGGGAGTGGAAGGGCAAAAGGGATGAACTCTTTCCATCAAGTCCTTTTATAATGACATTAATCCATTCGTGCCGGCTCTGCCAAAAGGCCCTCCCAAAAGGCCCCACCTTCCAACAGTTGCATGGGAATTAAATTTCCAACACATGAATTTTGGGAGACACATTCACAGCGTAGTCCAGCCTAAGCAATACGCTGTGCCAGGATTGCGGGGAGGGAGGGAATAGCTGCAGAAGCAGGGAATAAAGAATTTGGACTGAGACATGTTTCAGTTGACATCCTGGTGGGGAGTGGAGGAGGTGGCTGATGTGAAGAATGTGAAGAAAACAGTGATTCCACTGAAAACACATCCGACAGTCCTCTATCCTTACCAGGTGCTCCGTATAGTTTGGCGAGAGAGGCAGAAAGGTCTGAGTTCCAAGGAGAGGTCAGGGCTGGAGACATTCCATTGTGTGGCCACAGCTTCTTCCCAGAGCTTGCAGGAGACATGTTCACACCACCTCCCACCACCCCCACGATGCTATTTGTTCTGTATGTCTCTCCCACCTAGACTGGGAGCCTTGGAGGGCAGGGCATTGGGGGCCAGAGAGCCTTCCAGGCAGACTCTCCTAATGCCCGAAGCAAGGCTAGGCTCAGAAGCCCCGTGAGGAAGGCAGGTGAGGAACAGGCAGCCCTTGACCCATGACTGTGCCAGGTTGGGGACCTGGGACCCAGGGAAGCCTTCTCCCGCCTCACCATCAGCACAGGCCAGGATTGGAGAGTTTACCTCCTTTGGTGTTTACCAAACACACAGGGAAGACCAGTTGTGAGTAGACCAAGGCAGCCCAGCTGGGTGATCAGCAAGTCTCACCACCTCAGGCTACCCTCTTCACACACCGCAGCCTGTCCCCTGCCTACACTGCGCATCTTGAGTGCTCTGACCCCTTCACTACCCCTTCCTCCACCCCCCTGGACAGCAGCCCTGAGACAGGTCCTGAACCCCTAGCCAAGTACCCACTGCCCACCCCCAGTGCCCCACCCACCCTTACTAGCTCTCACCCACCCTCCCATCCTAAACCTCAGCCCTCCCACCCCCCCATGCCCACCTGAGCCCCCGCTTTCAGCTGCCTAAGAACTTCCCCCTGATGTGAAGAAAACAGCGATTCCCCTGAAAACACATCTGACAGTCCTCTATCCTTAGCCAGGGCTCCATATAGTTTGGCGAGAGAGGCAGAGAAACAACAACGAAAAAAAATATACACGCACACACACACACACAGACATCCACAGATTCATAAACATTTTGGATCCCTGGAGCTTGGATACATTTTCTAAAGGGCAAGCAGTTGTTTTGCTTATTTAATTTTATTGACAATCATCTTGTCATTCACTCTTGTAATTATAAATTTTTGGATTTACCTTTTTAAATATATTTTAATAGATTCTTTCCCCATACTAGACCCCAGCACACAACTAATTTCCTTGTCATGAAAAAATAAAAATAAAAAACTCATTTGTGATATCTTTAACTTTTGCCTGTAGTTTCTAAATTTAAAATGGAAGATTGTCAATCCATAATTATATGTGTCCAGTAAAAATTTTAAAGACTGTTTCCAGGGTTAATTGTCAACCTCCCCAGGAAAGGGATAACCAGTAATGCCGCCCCAGCCCAGAGTCTCCTAGGACGGCAGCTGACACTGGCCAAGTCCGCCAGGTGCCTCCTGTCCATCTCCTTCCCTCTTCATCCAGCACCCACCCACTCACCCACGCCAGCCCCAACCTCTTTACAGATGAAGGAACTGAGTGAGGCTCAGAGAGGTTAGCTAGTCTGAC
Source organism: Homo sapiens (assembly GCF_000001405.40). Classification (NCBI taxonomy): domain Eukaryota; kingdom Metazoa; phylum Chordata; class Mammalia; order Primates; family Hominidae; genus Homo; species Homo sapiens. The sequence continues at coordinate 3,484,114 of NT_167245.2, read as the reverse complement.
CAACATCACACTGTGTCAAACTCCTAAGCTAAGTGTTTTTTTCACTATTATATACTCTTCTGCTCTACCCACCAAAAAATTTCTTATCATGCCTTTGTTGCGAAAGAAGGAAAGAAAGAAAGAAGGAAGGAAGGAAGGAAGGAAGGAAAGAAGGAAGGAAGGAAGGAAGGAAAGAAGGAAGGAAGGAAAGAAAGAAGGAAGGAAGGAAGGAAGGAAAGAAGGAATGAAGGAAGGAAGGAAGGAAAGAAAGAAAGAAGGAAGGAAGGAAGGAAGGAAAGAAAGAAAGAAAGAAAGAAAATCTTTTGTCCCCAAAGTTAGAAAAACAAGTGAAAAAGGCCCAAGGCTATCAGCGAGGGCTCCAGAACCAAGGCAGTGCGGCCCTGCCCTTTCCTCCCACCTCACCCCTGCTCTGCTTTCCTCAGCCACTCCTGACCAGCAAGCAGGACACTGGGCATGGGTCCCAAGCCTGTGTCACCTTGGGCAGGTCGCGTCTCCCCTCTGGGCCTCAGTAAAAGAAGAAATGGGACCAAGTGAACAGTTCCAGGCTGTGTTCCCCAGCATCCTACATCCCATGGCAACCTTGAAGGGTCACTCTGGGTAGGGGTGGGGTCTCAGGAGGGGAAAGACTCAGCCAGAGCGCTGATCCTATATCTCTTCTCTATTTTGGGATTCTAGATATGAGTTTGATGGACAAAATTCCTCTACATTTGACATGATGAAAAGAAAGTTTGAAAGCCAGAGGCAAGACCATCCTGAAGATTCCTTTCAACTCCAAGGTCCTTTCACTTCCACAGGTGATCTGACATCACCACCTCTCTCACCACGCTGACAGCACTTTCATTTTGACTCTTGTGATGAGGTCACCTGGTATCTACACAGGATGGGGTTTTTTTGTGGAAAATGAAGGATTTCCATATCTGCGAATTTATTACACAAGAGTTTTAATATGGCTGAGCACAGTGGCTCATGCCTGTAATCCCAGCACTTTGGGAGGCCAAGGCGGGCAGATCACTTGAGGTCAGGAGTTCAAGACTAGCCTGGCCAACATAACAAAACCCCATCTCTACTAAAAATACAAAAATTAGTCAGGTGTGGTGGTGTGCACCTATAGTCCCAGCTACTTGGGAGGCTAGGGCAGGAGAATCGCTTGAACCTGGGAGGCAGAGGTTGCAGTGAGCCAAGATCGCACCACTGCACTCCAGCCTGGGCAACACAGCAAGACCCTATCTCAAAAAATGGAGGAAAAAAAAGAGTTTTAATCCCAGATGTTTTATTCATTAAAATTCACTGCTAAACAAACAACCAAAAAAACTGTCAGTTAACTAGAAGGATTGACGGGGGTGTCTGATTAACTGGAAGTGTCCTGAAGATGTCCTGACTTTATAAGGACAATTTTGTAATGAATACATATACATTCTGTGAGGGCAGGGAGGGTTTTGCTAAGCACAGGGTAGATAGTCAAGCTTGGTTAACTTACTGCTTGAATAAATGAATGAATACATGAACTTTTCTCTGGTGGTCAAGAGTAATGCAGGGCCTTAGCTGCTTTGCAGTACATGTGGCCTCCAACGTCACCTTCAGCTGCTCCTGTTGCCAGCATTTAACAGCCTTCCAGTCACTCCTCACTCTTCACAATTCACTAAAATTTTCAGTCCCTGGGTCACTGTCTTTCTCTTCATCCCACTCCTGCTACCATTCTTTGTGGCTTCTCTATCAACCAAGACACTCCACCCAACACCCTGGCCTCTCACCTTGACCTTTTGACCTTCTCACCTCCAGTGATCTTGTCCTCCCCCTACCACAGCCACTCACTCCACAGTCATATCTAGACCTTGTCATTACCTGTACCTGTACCTGAAACCTCTCCATAATCTCAGTTTTAAGTATCCCCCTTCCTGTCCTTGCAGATCACTCCCTCTAGTGTCCACCTCCAAAGATCAAACAATATTTTCACTTCTCCAGACCTCCAACCCCTTTGACCCTGACATTATGAGATCCTGTGCCCTCCCAACCTTATCCCGCTTAGGTTTCATGAAGCATTGTTGTAAGAGCTATCTTGCATCTCAACTCCTATTTCCCTCATTCCCTCCATCATGCCTGCCTGTCAAAAGCCTAGCTCTGGCTACCTCCAACTTCCCACCGACTCCATGCCTGCATCCAAGCAGCTGAAGTGGTTGGATAAAAATACTCAACCATGCTCATCAAACATTTACAAACTTCAAGTTGGCCATTAGAAACACCCAGCAGATAACCTGTGATGGAATTAGAGTAAAGAAAAGAAAAAGAAGTATACGGCATTTTCCTGGCCACTCACTCACAGAATTTCAAGGCAACTATTTCACACTTTCTTGTATTTCATTACACAGCCTCCATCCTCCTCACTTTCTTTTTTTTTTTTTTTTTTTTTTGAGACAGAGTCTCACTGTATGGCCCAGGCTGGAGTGCAATGGCGCAATCTCGGCTCACCGCAACCTCTGCCTCCTGGGTTCAAGTGATTCTCCTGCTTCGGCCTCCCAATTAGCTAGGATTACAGGCATGCACCACCACACCCGGCTAATTTTGTATTTTTAGTAGAGACGAGATTTCACCATGTTGCCCAGGCTGGTCTCAAACTCCTGACTCAGGTGATCCACCCTCCTCAGCCTCCCAAAATGTTGGGATTACTGGCATGAGCCAATGTGCTCAGCTCATCTTCCTCACTTTCAACTAACAACCAACTCCTCCACTTGGGCACTAGACCCCACTGCCTCTCACCTACTCAGGGCCATTCCTCCAGCAATACCCCATCTCCTGCACACCGCCTTTCCCTCTGCAGTGGCTCACTCCCATCAGCAAGCAAATATGTTATTCCTCCTATCTTAGAAAATAAAAAATGAATAAATACAAACCTTCCTCAGCACCCAAACTGAGGTCTCCTAGTACCATTTCCTCTAAAAAGAAACATATAGCAGCTTATGTACAAGATGAGCCTGAACATCTTATCACCAGAAAACAAGAAAGGCATCAAAGATATTAGTATTTTATCAACTTGAGGCTCGCACTGCCCAAATATGGCATAAATGGAGCCTCAGTAAAAATAGTGATAGCAACGGATTAAAACACATTCAAATCAACTGACTCATAGTGATACTAAATAAAGGGTCATTGGTTACCTTTGGCAGATGCTAGAGAACAAACTCATTATTCTGAAAGCTGCTAAATAAAGGGGAAAGAATGGCATCAATCTGCCTTTCCTAAATAAGTCATGTCAAAATAGTAGATGGGACATAATCTGTATAAATGAAATCAGTTTAGACAGAATAATAGACTTAGAATATCTGCATTTTATAATCCCTAAGAAAATAATGGATCTAGCAATGCTCATCATGGCTACCAACTAGAATTCTATGCCTCCTGATAGAAACACAGCACAATACCACCTATGACGTAGCCTTGCCAGAAAATAGATCATGAATCATATAAAGTCTTTAAATCTAACTACCAGTTTAAGAAGAAAATGGGGGAGGCAGAGGAATATGGTAAATGGTACAGTGATTCAATTAGCAAAATTCAGAATGTGGAAAGTTCTATAGGAAACAAGCCATTTCTTCAACAAATAAATGTCAAGGGGGTAAAAAAAGATTTAAAGAGACTTAAGCTCCAAGTCTAACCATGAGAAAATCACCAAACAAATTCCAAAAGAGGGGCAGCCTGCATAACACCTGACTAGTACACCTCAAAACTATCAAGGTCACCAAAAACAAGGAACACTGGCAAAACTGTCACAACCAAGAGGGCCCAAAGAGACATGACAAATACATGAAATATGGTATCCTGGAAGGCCAGGCGTGGTGGCTCACGCTTGCAATCCAGCACTTTGGGAGGCCGAGGCGGGCAGATCACTTGAGGCCAGGAGTTCGAGACCAGCCTGTCCAACATGGGGAAACCCCGTCTCTACTCAAAATACAAAAAAATTAGCCGGGCATGGTGGTGGGCACCTGTAGTCCCAGGTACTCGGGAGGCTGAAGCAGGAGAATTGCATGAAACTAGGAGGCGGAGGTTGCAGTGAGCCAAGATCACACCATTGCAATCCAGCCTGGGCAACAAGAGCAAAATTTCGTCTCAAAAAAAAAAGGAAAAGAAATATGGAATCCTGGAACAGACAAAAAGACACCAGGTGAAAACTAAGACAATCTGAATGAATGAAGTATGGACTTTAATAATAATTTATCTTTTTTTTTTTTTTGAGACAGAGTCTTGCTCTGTTGCCCAGGCTGGAGTGCAGTGGCATGATCTCAGCTTACTGCAGCCTCCACTTCCCAGGTTCAAGTGATTCTCCTGCCTCAGCCTCCCAAGTAGCTGGAATTACAGGTGTGCTCCACCACGCCTGGCTAATTTTTGTATTTTTAGTAGAGACAGGGTTTCACCATGTTGGCCAGGCTGGTCTCAAACTCCTGGCCTCAGGTGATCCGCCCACCTCAGCCTCCCGAAGTGCTGGGATTACAGGCGTGAGCCACCATGCCCGACCAATTTATCAATATTGATTCATTAATTATAACACATATACCCACACTCACGTAAGATGTTATTAATAAGGGACACTGAATCCAGGGAGGGCACATGGGAATACTCTGTACTATCCTCTCAGTTTCTCTATAAATCTAAAACTGTTCTAAAATGTGAATTCCACTTCAAAGAAGAGAAAGAGAGACTTAAGACACATATCAACTGAATACAATGCACGGATATTGTTTTGATATTGATTCAAACTGTATATATATTTAATGGAGAATTTGGGAAAACTAAACATTGCATATTTGATAATATTAAGAAATTATGTAAACTTTTCAGAAATAATACTAGCAAAATGGTTATATTATTTAAGAGTTCTTATCTTTTAGGATACTGAAATATTTGTGATAGAAATGATACAATATCATATCATATCATGTCATATCATATCATATCATATCTGGGATTTGTTCTAAAATAATCTGGTATGGAGGTTGGGAGTAGAGATGGAACCAGAGTGGTCCTGAATTTTTTTTTTCTTTAGACAGTGTCTCGCTCTGTTGCCCAGGCCGGAGTGCAGTGATGCCATTTTGACTCACTGCAACCTCCGCCTTTTGAGTTCAAGTGATTCTCCTGCCTCAGCCACCCTAGTAGCTGGAATTACAGGCGTGCACCACCATGTCCGGCTAATTTTTGTATTTTTTATTAGAGACGGGGTTTCACCACGTTGGCCAGGATGGTCTTGAACTCCTGACCTCAGGTGATCCACCTGCCTCAGCCTCCCAAAGTGCTAGGATTACAGGCATCAGTGGTCCTGAATTAATGATTATTGCATCTGGGTCACGGGTATATGGGAGTTCTTTTTCATTATCTCTATTTATGTGTATGAATTTTCTGAAATAATGAGTTTTTTAAAATTTCTCATGACCTCATATGCTGTCTCGCTAGACATACTTTCTCTGCAGCTCTTGACAGCAAAATTCCTTAAGAAATTCTACAACACAAAATGTCTCTACCTCCTCTCCTCTCACAGATTTATTGAGGCATAATTTACACACCATAAAATTCACCCACTTTGGTCGGGCGCAGTGGCTCACAGCTGTAATCCCAGCACTTTGGGAGGCCAAGGTGGATGGATCACTTGAGGTCAGGAGTTCGAGACCAGCCTGGCCAACACGGTGAAACCCCGTCTCTACTAAAAATACAAAAATTAGCCAGGTGTAGTGGTGGCCCCCTGTAATCTCAGCTACTCGGGAGGCTGAGGCAAGAGAATTGCTTGAACCTGGGAGGTGGAGATTGCAGTGAGCCAAGATGGCACCACTGCACTCTAGCCTGGGCAACAGATCGAGACTCCATCTCAAAGAAAAAAAAATCATCCATTTTAAGTGTACAATTCAATGATTTTAGTATATTTATAGAGTTGTAAAACTATCACCACAATCTAATTTTGAAACATTTCCATCACACCAAAAAGAAATTTCATATTCCTTTGCACTTAGCCCCCATTCCAAACCTGAGCCCTAGACAATCACTAATCTTTCTGTCTCTATAGATTTGCCTATTTTAGACATTTCATGTAAGTGGATTCCTGCAGCCTTTTGAGTCTAGCTTCTTTCACTTAGCATAATGTTTTTGAGGTTCATTCATTTTGCAGCATGTATCCATATTTCATTCATTTTTATTGCTGAATAGTATTCCATTGTATGGACACACCTTTTTTTTTTTTTTTTTTTTTTGAGATAGAGTCTTGTTCTGTCACCCAGGCTGGAGTGCAGTGGTGTGATCTCAGCTCACTGCAACATCTGCCTCCCAGGTTCAAGCAATTCTTCTGCCTCAGCCTCCCAAGTAACTGGGATTACAGGGGTGCACCACCATGCCCAGCTAAATTTTTTGTATTTTTAGTAGAGACGGGGTTTCACCATGTTGGCCAGCCTGGTCTCAAACTCCTGACCTCAAGTGATGCACCTGCCTCAGCCTCCCAAAGGGACACACCATATTTTGTTCACCAATTCACTGATCAATGGATATTTGGTTGTTTTTACTTCATACCTATTGTGAATAACACTGCTATGAATTCTTATACAAGTATTTGTGTGGACAATACGCTTTCATTTTTCTTTCTTTTTTTTTTTTTTTTGAGACAGAGTTTTGCTCTTGTTGCCCATGCTGGAGTGCAACAGCGCAATCTCAGCTCACCGCAACCTCCGCCTCCTGGGTTCAAGTGATTCTCCTGCCTCAGCCTCCCAAGTAGCTGGGATTACAGGCATGCACCACCATGCCCAGCTAATTTTTGTATTTTTAGTAGAGATGGGGTTTCTCCATGTTGGTCAGGCTGGTCTCAAACTCCTGACCTCAGGTGATCCGCCCACCTCGGCCTCCCAAATTCCTGGGATTACAGACGTGAGCCACCACACCCGGCCTGCTTTCATTTTTCTTAGGTAGATACCTAGGAACCCAATTGCTGAGTCATATGGAAAATCTGTGTTGAATGTTTTAAGGACTTAACCAGCTGCCTTCAAGCTCCAAGACAAGATGACGTAGATGCTCTTCTGATTCCTCCTGCTAAATACAGCTACAATCCTGGATGGTATATATAAAACAAACATAAGAAGATCCTGAAAGATGCAGAGAAGGCAGACTGGCTAGGAATCTCAAGACCCGAAAAAACAATATAGTGGTGAGTTCCCTGGGTTTGGCTTTTGCCTCATATATACAAGACTGGGTGCTGGAAAAGCCAGCAACCAGGAAACTCCAACAGGAAGATGAAAAAAATCCCGGAAAGTCTCTGGCCAAAGGACCAACAAAGGAACATCCTGGAAAGACAAAACTTTTAGACAATGACTACTCTATTTCAGGCAAAAAAAAAAAAAAAAAAAAAAAAAAACAACACTCTCACCCCCATATCTGCCAATAAAGGATGAGTGGGGAGTTTAGCCATCAACTCCCACCCAGCTGAGGCACCCCTCCCCAGCAAGTAGGAAGCTGGGACTCTCAGCCCCGCCTGGTGGTATGAAATCCCCCTCCATCACAACCAGTGTCACTGGAGACCCCGTGGGGAACAGGAATGAGGTGCTTCTTACTCTCTCAGCCAGGGTGTGTCAGCAGAGACCTAGTGGGAAGCCTGAACCCCCATCCACACCTAGCAATAACAAGGAGCACGGCTCCCTCAAGTGTTCACAGAGGCCAAGTGAGGAACCTGGGCCTCTCCCCCAACCTGACAGCAGTGAGGCAGCACCCTCTTTGCTCAACTAGTGCGGTGTCAAAGGATGATCACTAAAACAGACTTAAATAAGATCCAGAGTCTCATAACATACAATCCAAAATGTGCAGGATGCAAGCGAAAATCACTTGTCATACCAAGAATCGGGAAAATCTTGAATAAGAAAAGACAATTAACAGACATCAAAACCCAAGTTGACTTAAATGTTGGAATCACCTGATGCATATTTAAAGCAAGCAAGTATTTTAAAACAAGTATTAAAAATGCTTTACAGGCCAGGCACATTGGCTCACTCCTGTAATCCCAGCACTTTGGGAGGCCAAGGCGGGTGGATCACTCAAGGTCAGGAGTTCGAGACCAGCCTGACCAACATGGCGAAACCCCGTCTCCACTAAACATACAAATATTAGCTGGGCATGGTGGTGCATGCCTGTAATCCCAGCTACTAGGGATGCTGAGGCAGGAGAATCACCTGAACCCGGAGGCAGAGGTTGCAGTGAGCTGAGATCATGCCATTGCACTCCAACCTGGGTGACAGAGCAACACTCCATCTCAAAAAAAATAAAAATAAAAATAAAAAAGCTTCACAGGCCAGGCACATTGGCTCACATCTGTAATCCCAGCATTCTGGGAGGCCGAGGTAGGCAGATCACTTGAGGTCAGGAGTTCAAAACCAGCCTGGCC